>NC_000011.10:104445151-104748182 GCF_000001405.40 Homo sapiens
CAAAAATTTACTAAAGACTACACATGCATATTAATCAGTGAGAATATTCTATATTATTAATGCCAATTTTTCTAAATTAATCTATGTAATGCAATCTCAGTCAGACTAAATATGCAGATGATGTGGAAGAGAAAAAGTGAAAGAATAGAGAAGAAAAGGAAAAAAAAGAACCAATGGAAAAAGAATGATTCATTTGAATGAGAGAAATTAGATTTCTAGTTCATAACATTTTAAAATCCACATTGATTAAAGAACTAAGTGCAATAAAATAATTATGAAAATACTGTCAAGAATATTTTAGCGTGGGGGGCCTTTTGCAGTAGAAAACAAAACAGACAGCCATGCAGGAAGAGAAGATAACTTTAACAAAATAATGATAATTTTAAACTCTTCTTTATGAAGAAAGATACCATGAGCCAAATAAAAAGACAGCCTAGCACAATAGAAAAGATGGAAGATAAATATTAAAGCTTAATCATATATAAATAATTTTCTTAAATCGATATGGTAAACACAAAAAACCCAACAGAAGAAAAATGGTCAATGGCTGTTAACAATTCACAGAAAATCAAAGTTTCTCAACCTCATTTTCAATGATGGTTATATAAACTATAACAGCACTGAGATTTTATTTTCCCGTTCGATTTGTAAAATTTTTAAAAATGCCTCAATACTTTCAGTTGGGATAAAAATAATAAAAAACAGAAAATTTCAAATACTGTTTGAATATAAGTTTTATAAAGTAATCAAGAAATTTCTATCAAAATTTAAAATGTGAATACCCTTTATCTCTCACTTCTTCCTTCCTCAATTTTCTTCTAGATATTCTCCCAAAAAGGGCATTTAATTGCAGCAAGTTTTCTAGTAGGAAAATAGAGAAAGATTAAATAGTTATTGATTTGTGTAATTTGATAATAGATTCTGTAGCCATAAAAACAATTGGAAACAAATATACTTCTCTACCTATGACAAATATACTTCTTTACCTATGACAAATTTTGTAAATCATTAATCTTATCTATTATATGAACTGCAAAAATTATCTTCATTCATGTATATATGCGTAAATATGTATGTAAATGTATAAGAACACTAAAAACATGTAGAATGTCTTAAATCTTTGGATTTTATTGTGTATATTTCTTTTTTATGGGGGTCTTATTTTAACTTGTGCATACAAAAATTTTAATTTTGAATTGCTTTTACAAAATGTGTTTAAAAACATATCAAAAGTTAATACTAATAATTTTTGTGAATGAGGGAAAAAACTAGTCTCTTTAGTAACTGTAGCTACATAATCTCTATGGTAACTACACTTAACCAAAAACCATACCCACTACTTAATGAACACATACATGTGTCAATTACTATATTTATTAAATTTTTGATTTTATAGATGAGAATACTGAGCTAAGAAAACTGTCCAGATTTACAGAGCTAAGAGTTCTCAAAGATGTTCACTATTTTTTTTAAGTTTTTTTTTTTTCCTTCAACTTTTGTCTTAAGTTCAGGGGTACATGTGCAGGATGTTCAGGTTTGTGAAATAGGTAAATGTGTGCCATGGTGGTTTGCTGCACAGATCATCCCATCACCTAGGTATTAAGCCTAGCATCCATTGTCTGTTCTTCCTGATGCTCTCCCTCCCCACACAACCCCAACAGCTCCAGTGTGTGTTGTTCCCCTCCCTGTGTCCATGTGTTTTCATCATTCAGCTCCCACTTGTAAGTGAGAACATGTGGTGTTTGTTTTTCTGTTCCTGCATTAGTTTGCTGAGGATAATGTCTCCCAGTTCCATCCATGTCCCTGCAAAGGACAGGATCTTGTTCTTTTTTATGGCTGCATAGTATTCCATGGTGTATATGTACTACATTTTCTTCATCTGTTCTATCATTGATGGGCATTTAGGTTGATTCCATGTCTTTGCTATTGTGAATAGTGCTTCAATGAACATACACATGCATGTATCTTTATAATAGAATGATTTATATTACTATGGGTATATAACTGGTAAACATTACAAGCTCATGGATAAGAAGAATCAATATCATAAGAATGGTCATATTGCCCAAAGTAATTTATAGATTCAGTGATACTCCCATTAAACTACCATTGGCATTCTTCACAGACTTAGAAAAAAAAACTATTTTAAAATTCATATGGAACCTAAAAGGAGCGCAAATAGCCAAGAAAATCCTAAGCAAAAACAAAGCTGGAGGCATCACACTACCTGTCTTCAGATTATACTGCAAGGCTACCTAACCAAAACAGCATGGTCTTGGTACAATAACTGACACATAGACCAATGGAACAGTAGAGAATGTAGAAATAAAACGGCACACCTACAACCATCTGATCTTCAACAAACCTGACAAAAACAAGCAACGAGGAAAGGACTTTCTATTTAATAAATGATTCTGGGAGTGCTGGCTAGCCATATGCAGAAAATCAAAACTGGACCCCTTTTTTACACTGTATACAAAAATTAACTCAAGATGGATTAAAAACTTAACTGTAAAACCCAAAACTATAAAAATCCTAGAAGAAAATCTAGGCAGTACCATTCAGGAAGTAGGCACAGGCAAAGATTTCATGATGAAAATGGCAAAAGCAATTGCAGCAAAAGTAAAAATTGACAAATGGGATCTAATTAAAGAGCTCTGTACAATAAAAGAAACTGTAATCAGAGTGAACAGACGACCTACAGAATGGGAGAAAAGTTTTGCAATCTATCCATTTGACAAAGACCTAGTATCAAGACTATACAAATAACTTAAACAAATTTACCAGAAAACAAACAAACAAACAAACAAACCCCATTCAAAAGGGGGTAAAGAACATGAACAAACTCTTCTCAAAAGAAGACATACATGAGGCCTACAATCATATGAAAAAAAAAGCTCAACATCACTGATCATTAGAGAAATGCAAATCACAACCACAATGAGATACCATCTCACACCATTCAAAATGGCTATTAGTAAAAAGTCAAAAAGCAACAGATGCTGACAAGGTGGCAGAGAAAAAGGAAAGCTTTTATTATACATTGTTGGTGGTAGTGTAAATTAGTTCAACCATTGTGGAAGATAGTGTGGTGATACCTCAAAGACCTAGAGGCACAAGTATCATTTCATAATCACTATTAATAGTTTAATTTTTTAAAGGTGAATATTTAGAATATATTTTATTTAGATATATTTTAATGTAATGTATTATAAATACAAAATATGAACTCACAATAGACAAATTAAAAATGTTGGGAGAGATTAAATAAATACCTGTGCTCTTCACAAAGATCTTAAAGCTTTTATTGATCTGATTATTTAGAATTATGCACTACAAAAATGGGGAAAACTGTTTTAGCTAACATAGCATGATATAAGCAGTAAAAGCCACTTTATTCTTGGTTGCTTGAGTTCAGGGGTGATACTCTGTATTTGCTTTAGGTTCCAAGGTTTACTATATGTTGAACAAAACTGCACACATTTAAGAAACAAACACCAAGATGCAGTTTGAAGTACAAAAGGATCGTTGGGAATAATGCTTTGAAAAATATGGACAGGAGGGGAGAACAGGAGTAGGCAGGGAAGACTGTTAGATCATAAAAAGATTTGGCACCTATTGAAGGAGAGGAAAAAGGAAGATGGTTGCATAGGAAAAGCCTTAGACTGTGGTGGTGCTCAGAGAAAAGTCTCAGTCCACTTAACAGAGTGCTTTGGCACAACATTCCATGTAGATGAGTTGACAATGAGTAGAAGTGTACCAAGCCCTGGTACCATCATCAGGCTTTAATGTATTTTTCAAGCTGTCAAAGGAGAGAGTGGCCTTGGCTCCAATATCACAGTGGATCTTAAAGGTGCTGTACTGGGAGGCTCTCAGCTAGCTCCTTCCCTTTGGGAGGCTCTCAGCTAGCTCCTCCCCTCTGTGGCTGATCCACAAAGGGACCAGCATAGGTCCCTGGCTGCCATACCACATGACACGTTACTTGGGGAGAACTTTAAAATATAGCTTAGTTAGTACTACCTGCTGACCATTTAATTCTCTTGTGTTGTTGTATACAGTTTGCCGTGATTGGAATATGGTTGTATTTTATTTATATATTCTATTCAATATAACTGTGAAAAATACATGAATTAATAATACATTACAGATTCATAAAAGTGATTCATCTCAGCATACCTTTTTTATCTTTTAGACCACAAAGGTGCAGTAAATGATGTCCTGGAGGAGTTACATCACATTTCACATGTCTAGGGGTGTCACTTGTCATTAACATGCTCAAAGTATCTAAATCAATGAGCCATGAAGTGTTTGAGCAAGCTGGGAGAAATTCACTACGTGAATTTAATTATTTTCCTAATTACAAAAATATACGCATTTGAGAGAAATGTGTTAGATTGCTGGAGTGCTTTTCCATAGCCAATGGGCACATGTTTGTGTATCTGTGGGAAGGCTTTCTATCTGATGTGACTGATTGGTTTAAGAGATGATTAATATTTTAGTATTACCAAAGATTTTTTAAATAGGAAATGATTTCATTGGCTTTATAAACAAGCTAAAACTATAATTCATTTACTTTTGGCCAAAGTCATTCCAAAAATATATTAACTAGTCTAAATGTAAAAGTTTAATTACTTTTTTACCTACTTTTGCATACAGATTTTAGAAGTACCCTATGTTTATACATTAAAGATCTATTTATAGGTACTATTGCTTAAATGTGTTTCAAAATATATTTATCCATATCTCTAGCTCAGTGTCTAGGACATTGCCTCATGCAGAGGATGACCAATAAACATTTGATGCAAGAGTTAATAGTTATTTTTTTCAAATATGTAACATACTCATTAATACTTTTATATCCCACAATATCTAAGGAATATTAGAATTAAATTTGGTTCAAAGGTTTTCTTGACAAAACTAAGAAATATATTATTAATTTTGTGGTAAAAAAGGTTAAAAATGATATATGACATATTTCTTTCTTATATTGGTTATTGGTAATAGTATTTTTTCATTCACATCTTGTGTTTTGGCACTGGATGCCTCTTGGGGGCAAATAATCAGAAATTAACAATGATCTTCAAAGTAAAATGCTCTGTGAGAATCTGTGAACAAGCTTGCAAATGACACATTTCTATCCCCATTTTCATAAATGTCTATTGCTATTAACATCACTAATTAATATTGTGCCACAGAGAGATTTGCATCTTTCTGAAAATTATTTCTCACATAAAGCTTAGCATAAAGAAAATTTAATGGAATGAAATGATGCTGTGGTATGTTGACCTTGTATATCGGTGCTGACCCTCTTTTATACCTGCTTACCAATCACTCATTAACCTTTTGTCCTGTTCTTTTCAAATCCTATGTTGATAGCCTAATAATCATGAACAACTTGGTTGTGTTTAATTGCAATTTATCAGCTAATATTGATATCCATCTTGATAAATTGTGAGACGATAAAATACAATTACTTTGTATAGTCTGTGTTCAGATGTAACCAATGTAAAAGAGACCTGACTTAGCCTCTTTTTATGAAGACTTTTCTCTTTATAATATGGTATTGATAATAACAGACTAAATTTGTCTTCATGTATGCCCTTTAGAGAGATGGAGGGCAGGCTAACCTGGCAGGCAGGCCTGTCAATTCACCAGCACTATGTTGATTTCCAGGAGGTCTGCCCCCTTGGAAGGCCAAGTACAAACACCAGAGGGCCAAGAGCAGAATATTCTGTGTTTATTATATGTCAGGAATTATGCTTGGGGTATTATATTATTTTCTCAGTTAAGTCTTACAGTAGAATAGATGGCTAAATGCTATTATTTTGTTTTATCAATAGAGAAACTGAAACTCAGTAAGTCAAATAGTAATTCTTGAGTAAGATTCAGAGGAAAATTAAAATTTGGTCTAATCATAAAGTTTATGTTCTTAACTGTTAAGCTTTAGCCCCTGGGACAGAAAAACAGTTTGAAAACATATATGTATATGAACTTTACAGTGACTCCAGCTTTCTTAACCACAGAGAATTCACCCACCAACGGAAGAAGAAAGTTATGGAAGCTACTAGGTAATTTCCTTTAGGTAATAATATCCTTGTACCCTTCCCAAATGTGTCCCATTCTACCTTTCCTCTGCCCAGTCTATCTGACTATGATCCTTGGCAAGGCACTGGGAATCGGGCTCTCATTCTGTTCCTGGCCTTCTGGTGTTTGTACTTGGCTTTCCTGGAGTGTGGCTGCTGGCTACTGACAGGTTTGCCTCTAGTTCCGCCCCTTGGAAGTGAAGACAAGTGCTGTTGAATTGACAGACCCACTTGGCAGGTTAGCCTCCCTTCCATCTTTCTCAAGGGCATATCTGGAGACAAATTTAGTCTGTTACTATCAGCATGTTATGAAAAGAAAAGTCTTCATTAAAAAATGAGTTTAAGGCAGGTGTCTTTTACATTGGTTTGTGAATCTTGGCGTAAAAATTTGTCTCTGGACTCAACATCCTTAACCCTTTCCATAAAAATGTGTTTTCTCAAGATAAAATGAACTTTGCATTCTGTTCACTCTGGGATTCTATATTTTTAGCTTTCCTGTGATTTTACTCCCCATCTTTTTGTTGTTGGATGTTGTCTCCCTGGCTTCCATGCCTGGTTACAGACACTGACAAACTACTCTTGTTATCTGCAGACGGGTAAGTATTTTATAGTTCAAGAATGTGAATGGCTGAGTTAAATTCTTGAAATGTATCAAAATAAGAATAATCTCCCTTCATATGATATTATATAGAAATCACCTCTACAGATATGTTCTGGAGGAATATTTATTCTGGCTGTTTTCCAAAATCCTCTTGGGAAATTTCAGCTGGCTAGTGAGCACTGGACTGAGAGATGATGTCAAATCCTGCCTCTGCTATCTTCTAGTTATTTTACCTCCAAGTGAGTCACATCAGTTTTATTCTTTTTTTTTTTTTTTTTTTTTTTTTTTTAGCAGAGTCTCACTCTGTTGCTTAGGCTGGAGTACAGTGGCGTGATCTCAGCTCACTGCAACCTCTGCCTCCTGGATTCAAGCGATTCTCCTTCCTCAGCCTCCTGAGTAGCTGGGAGTACAGGCATATGCCACCACGCCCAGGTAATTTTTGTATTTTTAGTAGAGATGGGGTTTCACCATGTTGGCCAGGGTGGTCTTGAGCTCCTGACCTCAGGTGATTCACCTGCCTAGGCCTCCCAAAGTGCAGAGATTACAGGCATGAGCCACCACACCCAGCTGAGTCACATCAGTTTTCTATACTTTGTTTCCTCATTTGTAAAATTGGTAAATAATGAGTGGATTTTAACTCTCTTGATCCTGGGGTATAGTCTTGGGAAAAAATGGGTTTGTTCCAGAATATAAAAGCTTATTTATAACCCTGTGTCCTTTGGGGCTCAGGATCTCACCTTTCCTTTTCTTAAAGGCACTGATTCTCTACCTCTGGTGCTTAGTACCACATTGAGATTTTCTGTCCCCATGGAAACAATGAAATTGAAGCATTACTCATGTCCCAGAAAGTGGTGTGTGAAGACTTGTATGTCCAGAAGAACCACCAGCTTCCAAACTTGTGTTTGCTGGTGAACTATAGAAGAAAGGAATGTGGCTCACATTTTACTCCAGTTATGTAACTGCCTTTGTAGATTAAATTCATATTCAACATTACCTTTGGCCATTGACATAAAAGCTGCTGTAGCTCCACTATATCCTTCTTTGCTATATTCCTCCAAAAGAATGAAAAAGTTCATGTATGATAGGCTGACTATGACCACAGTGAGGGTGAAATGGAGACACAGGTATTGAGGCTGTTAATGTTTTCTCTCCTTTGTCTGGTCTTGTTTTTTTTTTTTTCCCAGTCTTCTACGCCTAGCATTCCAAATCCAGGGATTTAGTGATTTTTAGCAGTCCTTCTCCTGCTTAAAATTATTCTAACACACCTGATGCTATTTGTACCCAAATTCCTTATTTCCCTCCTTCCTGGATTACTTTCCTTATCAACTAGTTGTTGGAGGGAAAGTGAGAGATTAAATTCATTTCTTGTATATGTAAAGAGCTCAGAGCTTCTTATAAGTTGAACTTTGTATTGAAAAAAGGATTAACACATCACAAAAGAAAAAAGAAAAATACCAGTGATGGGGAATTTTCTGGTTTTATAAAATTCTAGATAGTTGAGATAGAAAAAACATATTTTAAAAAACAGAATAGTTTTTCTAGGGCCTCATAAATCACAGCACGGGAGTGTCTAGCTCCTTTACTTACCTTTATACCATACACTTTATGGTTATAATCTTTAAACATAAACACACAAAACCCTCTCTGTTTCATCCTTTTCTACTAAATGTCAATTGCTAGTTCCCTTGTTTAACTTCATATTTAGTTCAATACTTTTACTTTTGTCTTCACAGTATAAGTTTTATCTTTAACCCTGGGGATTTTAATAATAATCTATTGTTTTTGAAATGATTATGTTTTCAAGATTTAGTATTCTGGGAAACTTAATATTAAATCAAAGTTTGAACTGTTCACTCAATATTACTCTATGAATTTATATTAAAAAGCTCTTAATACTCAGGTATTAGGATAAACTTACACTGAACCCAAAGTAACTCAGTCTTTAAAAACTTTCAGTACACCCATTTCCCTTTTATTATTGATAAAGCTAACAATTATATCTTGATGATCTAGAACTATATAGATAACGTTTTTTAATAAATGCCGAGTTCTCATTTCCTGAATCACCTTCATTCTTTTGTGTTCACACTGGCAGAACTTGCTGTTTCTACCAGAAGAATCATTTTGATTGGGAATGCAGTTTTTAGTAGAGATGGGTCAGTGTGGCTATGACAACATGGTGCTATTAAAACTAATAGAAAAAGGACTCATGAGAACTCTATCTTTGTTCAGGTTATGATCACTTCCTTTCTCAGAACCATTGTTAGTAGTGAAACAGGAGACAGAAAATGGCCTCCAGAATGATTGTCTTCTGGTGGATTTAATGATATCGTATCACTTCTCAACGTGGCTCATCATTGTCCTCCCATATTCTAGTCAACATATAAAACCCATCATTCCATTCATTTGATTTATTTTTAATATCCCCCCAGCTTCTATTATGATCATATTTTTCTTTTCCTTGTCATGAGCTATTGGCCAAGAAGTGTGATGCAGATTAAGGGGTACCATCTTAGTCCATTTAGTGTTGCTGTATAGGAATACCTGAGGCTGGGTAATTAATAAAAAGAGGTTTATTTGGGTCATAGTTCTGCTGGTTGGAAGGCTGGGCATCTGGTGAAAGCCTCAGGCTGTTTCCTCTCATAGCAGAAGGTGAAAGAGACTCAGGGTGCTCAGAAATCACACATTGAAAAAGGAAGCAGAGAGAGTGAGAGGGGAAGTGCCAGGCTCTTTTTAACAACCAGCTCTCATGGTAACAGTAGAGTGAGAACTCACTTGCAGCCATCCCTCCCTCCCCCACCCCAGGCCTCTTTCCTCCAGGAAGGGCACTAATCTATTCTTGAGGTATCCATCCCCATGACCCACCCATCTCCTGTTAAGCTCCACCTGCAAAATAAGGGATCAAATTTCAACATAAGAGTTGGCGGGAACAAACATACAAATTATAGCAGGTACATTTATTCTGATCTTCAGTTTTAATCTATAGCATTCTTGAGTCATGTGACTTTAGGTGTCTTTTAAAAACTTTTATGAAATCACGATGAAATAAATACTATTATTTTCCTAGTTTCATAATAAAAATTGAGACTCTGAATGTTAAATAAAGTTGTTCAAACTCACAGCAACCTTAGGGGGCTTCTGACTCCAAAGTCCACGATCTTATCAATGAGAGTGTTTATGTGTGTGGTGGGGTGAGGGGCGCTGAGAAGGAAGAGGCAATGACTTGATTCTGTTTATCTAGAAAGAGGTAACAGCAAGTCTTTGGCATTGGAGGCCAAGCTTCAATCTCTAGCATTTACACAGCTGCTTTACCTCTTAAAAAGAACATTCACTTTCTGTCCCATGAAGGATGAATCTCCTGTCTCTAAGCAACTGAAGAGAGGGCGCCTAGAAGGGCATGATGTGTTTGGGGAACTGGATATTGTCAATGAGTCTGAGATGGTATATCCAACACGGAAGGGTCAAGGCTTCCTGTCATCTGCTGTGTTTGCATTTAGCACATAGCAGATACTCAATGGACATTAACTAAGTGAAAGGGGCAGATTATAGGAGCTGATACTGGAAAGGCCAGCACATGAATGGCCAGGATTTCAGGCTGCAGACAACATATGGCCAGTTTCTTACCTATGGTGACTTATGAGTTTACTACTAAACTCTGAATATTTTCTAAGGTCTATTTGGTTGGTAATTTTTAAAAAACAGCTTATGGAACATAAGAAATAATATGAAAGTTCTAATTGCTTGAGTGGCTATTGCAAGAAACAGAATAATAGAAGGGACTGACTATGTGGGTGGTGGTAAGTGGCTATATGAAATTCTGACTAAATTATACCCTAAGGCAAAGGTGGTATAACTGAGTTTTTGGAAGTATTAAAAAACTAATTAGAAGGATTATATCTTTAATATTCATGTTTCTGC
This sequence comes from Homo sapiens, assembly GCF_000001405.40. Taxonomy (NCBI): domain Eukaryota; kingdom Metazoa; phylum Chordata; class Mammalia; order Primates; family Hominidae; genus Homo; species Homo sapiens. Next base: position 104,455,754 of record NC_000011.10, read on the forward strand.
AACTACAAAAGCATTCTGGGACAATATAAAAGATTAATTTATATATGTTTTTCTTCTTCTCCAACTCCCCACCACCTCTGTCATACATTGGTATTTTGCTCCTTTGCTCTCCTAAAATCTTGGAAAATATTCTTTCTTCATCATACTTTATTCTAAGCAATTAGCTGTTTCTGAATTTCAGCTAAGAAATAATTATCTCCAGAATTCATAGGTATGAATTCCCCAATGTTTCCTTAGCTTTTGGGCCATTTTTGATGCCAAACTGATGTAGAGTCCCTATTACATAAGAATTGGTTTTACAAATTAATTTAACAAATTTAACAAATCTAGAAAGAACTGGAAAGATACAACAATTTAAAAAGATACTCCCATTGTTTAAGTGAAATTATATTTGCTGCTAAAATTTCCAAAATTACATTTAAATTGTTTCTCGTAATGCATAAAATAAAGACTACCTTTCATTAAAATTTCATACAGTGATGCAGTGGTATAAAGAATATATGAAACACAAGTGTAAAGTTTAATATTTACTTATGAATGAGGGTGAGATGAACTCTTTCATTCATGATTTTAAAATGGAATAAAAAGGAAATATTTGCCTTGCTTTTTAAAAATCATATAAAACTTGGATAATTAGAATTCATGGTAGAGATATTCTTCATGTACACATATGATAATCTGGTGCTAAAAGTAACTAATAAGGCATTTCTATATACTTTAAAAAAAATATGTTCATTTTATGTAACTTGAGTAGCAATACCGTGACATAGATATTGTTGTGGTCATATATATGAGAGTATTGGGCCTCGGTAGAAGTTAATAGTCTTCTTCAAGTAGTTATTTATTCCTATTGAAGTTTTTGGTGTGGCAGTCAGTACATGTTGAACATCCTTAATACAAAAACTGGAAATCCAAAATGCTCCAAAATCTGAAACATTTTGAGTGCTGACAATGATTGCCACAAGCGGAAAATTCCACACCCAACATTATGTAATGGGTTGCAGTCAAAATGCACAGAACACACAGTTTATTCAGTGTCTGCAAGAAAAAATGAGACCCCTTAAACCCGTTTAGCTGCTATATATCTTTAACATGCATACTCAGATTCCCCCATTCAAGCAGGCCCACAAAGAGTAATAAAATGGCACATGTAGTGATGATATGCCATTTCTTTATGAATTTCCATTAAAAAGTGCGGAAATAGCTGTGGAAAAACTGCCTTTAGACAATATGGTGAAAATGTGCGATGGGCTTAATGAAGGACTAGAGCCATGTGCACTTACCACAGAACAATAAATTATGTCAGTTAATAGAATCAAAAAGAGACCTCTGAGGCATAAACTGTTGTTACTGAGTTAGATGACTCTGAAGAAGACATTTTAAAAGGCTATCTAACAGAATGCCTCCTCATCCCTGCAGGACCCACATTTTGGGGCCCTCAAATGCTTCTGATATTTCTTCTCACTGAAAAAATAAAATACGGTACACACTAACCTTTTAGCCAAATACAGCATTGTAGGTAGGGACAGACCAAAAGCCTGCAGTTGTTTGTCATTGCTTTTGTTTAACAGCTGACACGGGTGTACTCTGGTGATGCTACCATGCTGCTTAGTAACCCTGAACACATTGCTTTTTCATTGTATTATTGGTATGTCATACTTTTTACTTTTAAGTGATTATGTGTGAATAAGTGTAAAAAATGATTGCTTATCAGTGGCATACAAATTTAGAGTCAGGAATGATAGTGACACCAGACAACACAGATTGTCCACATGGGTGGCTGTGATAGTGACACCTTTGCTTTCTGATGTTTCAGTGTGCACAAACTTTGTTTTATGTACAAAATTATTAAAAATATTTTATAAAACTACCTTCAGACTACGTGCATAAATATATATGAAACATAAATAAATTTCAAGTTTAGATAAGTCTCATTACCAAATATCTCATAATGTACATGCAAATATATTCCAAAATCTGAAATCTCGAACACTTCTTGTCTGAAGCATTTAGAATAAGGGATGCTTCACCTGTAGTGGAAAATATATTTGGGTTTAAAAGACCCTGGAAGTTTCAGTTTTCTCATATAAATGACAGTCTAGATGGAGGTGGTTGCTGGTATTGCTTAAGAATATCAGGGCTGAGTTATTTGCAGCTCTCTGTTTCTTTCCCTCATGGTAACTAAATGCCAGGGCAGCCTCAGCCATTATGTTTGTGTTGTTGTCAGCATAAAGAAAAAAAAAAAGAGAAGAAAATGTGGTGCCAGTTTCAGGAGAGCAAAGGTTTTCTCTGAACCTTCCAGCCGATTTCCACATAGATTTCGTTGGCTATAATTGGACTCCACGGCAATACCAAAGCTCAGATGAGTCTGGAAAGGTTGGGTTTGACTTTTCCAGTGTCTACAGCTGAGGAAGGCAATGAAAAGGGGGTTGGGAGAGTGGAGAGCCAAACTGTAGTGGCTGCCACAGTGTTTACCACTGTCCTGAATTCTGATATAAGAAGTTCGGCTGTCTTTCCTTTAAAACATACTGCCTTCTAACTTATACAAGTCAACAAGAAAAAAACAACTCCATTAAAAAGTGGGCAAAGGACAGGAACAGACAGTTCTCAAAAGAAAATACACAAGAGGCAAAGAAGCATATGAAAACATGTTCAACATAATTAATCATCAGAAAAATGCAATTTAAAACCACACTGAGATACCATCTCACACCAGTCAGATTGGCTATTATTAAAAAGTAAAATAAATAACAGATATTGGCAAGCATGAAGTGAAATGGGAACACTTATATACTGCTGTTGGGATGTAAGTTAGTTCAGACCCTGTGGAAAGCAGTATGGAGATTTCTCAAAGAACCAGAAATAGAACTACCATTCATCCCAGCGATCCCACTAGTGGGTATCTAACCCAAAGGAAAATAAATGGTTCTGCCAAAAGACACCCACATATATGAGTCAAAAAGACAGAAACATATATGATTATATGTTTATTGTAGCACTATTCACAGTATCAAAGTCAGGGAACCAACCTAGGTGCCCATCAATGGTAGATGACTAGATAAAGGAAATGTGGTACATATATACCATGGAATATTACACAGCCATAGAAAAGAATGAAATCATGTCCTTTGCAGCAACATGGATCCAACTGGAGGCCACTATCCTAAGTGAATTGAGAAACAAATATAGTATGTTGTCACTTATATCAATGGGTACACGTGGACAGAAAGATAAAAACAATAGACACTGGGGACTCCAAATGGGGGAGAAAAAGAGGGAGACAAGTGTTGGGAGACTTATTGGCTTCTATGTTCACTATTTGGGTGACAGGTTCCATAGAAGCCCAAACCATTAAACAATAATATATCCATGTAACAAACCTTCATGTACTTCCCAATTTAAATTTAAAAATATAAAATAAAACACTCTGCCTTCCAAAAGTATACCAATTTTCTTTAAAAGCTATAATAAAAATGATGAAGCAAAATAAAATTGTTGCTATCCAAAATAATTATTTTTCCCCTTACATAAGTAATTATCTTCTATATTTTGAGTATAAATATGATTTAATGATTACATTTGAATTGGGATAGTGATCTACAATACTAGGTGTAAATTATTACTGGAGATTATTCTTAGAGAAAGGTGTGTGGATATTTGGTGTGGCTGAATCTCCTGGTTAGTCACAGTCCTGTTGTTTTCTCTTACTGAGTTCATAACCAGGTTCCTTTGGTCCATTTTCCTTGCTATTAAGTGTAGCTGTATAAATATGTTCCCGCTGGTGGGAGTTGCCCAGAAGTGTTGTGTGCTGTTTCTCACATCAACTTTCCAGGCAGATCTATCGTAACTCCACAACTGTTGGAGTAGACTTGATGGTGCTAAGAAACTGAGGGGCCACAGGTTTGAAGGAGCTATCTGCAAATAAGAAACACTGACACTGGCCTCCTAGGTGAGCAAGAATAAACATGCATTGTGTGAAGACTGAACTTTGGGGTTTTCCAGTTAGAGCATTTATAGCATTGCAGAAATGGATACATTTGGATGAGTATAGGAAAATAAGAATAATTCATTTGTAGTCAGATTTGTCCTCTGCCCAACTTTCTACAGGGTCATGAGCAGAGAGCAGCCCTCTACCTCAAGACTGGTGGCATCTAGTCAAGTGGGACAGATTTTGAATATTCTTGACCAACTCAGTCCATACATAACTCTCAAGTCTGTCCCAGTGAGTTGTTCTTTAACTCGTGTTCACAAGAATTTAAATGTATTAATACATAGGTATACTTCAATTTGATTTTCCAGGTCAGGAGCCAGACAGTCAAACCATGTGAATAGATAAAAACAAAACACTTTTATCAAACAAATATACACAAGTATCTATTTGAAAAAATACAAGTTTTGCATTGTATATGTTGCATTTCTTTTGATTTCCCATGTGTTGTGGCTCTGCATTTCCTATAAGAATTGCATAATGTCTAGACATTTATGAGCCACTAGATCACAGATTAAATACCATCATGATAAAATGTTCTTGTCAATGTCTTTCTAAATAAGGCTACCTTGGCTCTCTTTAACAGGGTACATTATGCTCAGTTTAATATTCTAGTTACCTGCTTTGGGGCTGGTCACTGCTCACCAGACCATTAGTAATTTCAGGACAGAAGTTTTATCTTACTCATTTTTGCATTCTAACAACCTATAATAGTGCCAATACCCATAGCAGACATTTAACAAACATGGCTGATTAAATGAATAAATAATTTAGAAATGAGTGCAAACTATTATAGCTCTGTGTGTGATTTGAAGTTTTACTAAATAACAAATTGTTTTCCTATACCAGTTGAATTCAGGCTTCAAATACTGATATTCAATAAAGGATTTTTATGACATTGTGCATAATACATAATAGCATTGGTAACTGAATTGATCATAAAGACAATGTGATCTGAAAAGAAAAAGTAAATAGGTGAGCCAGATTAGAATGCTTATGGGGATAAGGAATGATGGTAGCAAGAAAATGAGCCTGTCACATGTTACTGCCTGTGGTGATCAGTGCCCTAAACTGCCACATGAGGTTGCTTACTTCCATTTGTTCTGACCTAGCCTCTTTGATTTTCCCTAGCATGAGGTACATATGAAGATGTAGAAAGAAAAGGGAGATCTAAAAGTTTCAAAAGTCACTTGTCATGGTATTCAATAAGCCTGCCCATCTGCCACTGCCTAACTTTGCAGCTTCTATCTTCCAAGCTTGTCCAGGACCATCATTGCCCCACTCCCTACCCTTCTGTCTCTTAGAATTGTGTAAGGTTTCTGATGAGCACGGGTTTGTCCATTCTTCATCATTTGCATAAAATTTCTCTTTCTGGAATGCCCAACACCTGCTTGCTGATCTGATGAACTCCACCTTATTGTATAGGATGTGGTGCCACCTCTTCTCTGAATCTTTTCCACGCTTGTCTCACTTCCAAAGTACAGTAGGTTGCTGCTTGATGAGCCATGCTACAGTCTTTTCATACCCTTTATTACGTTTGTCATATTCTATCTATGGGTATGTGTTTGTACATGAGTGTCTTTTACCTATTTGTTCCTTGACTGTTGAGATTGTTTTGTACTTGGTACATCACATGGTACGTGTACTCTGTATAGAAAGGTAGTTCCACGAATGGTGGGATGGCAGAAGAGTCTATTCAAAAACAGTCCTTGGGCAAGATGGACTGGAATGTGTCCCTGTGATGGTCACATAAATGTCCTCTAAGTAGAGACAATAATCAGGGATGCATCAAAAAGTATATATTGTGTCTGGGCAAACTTCAGAAAGAGATTTAATAGTTCACGAAACTTCTCAAATGCTTTTATGTTTTCTAAAAATCCATTGAACAAAACCACTTGGCATTGCACCCAGAAGCCTTTGCTCGTCTTTCGAATTAGAGTACTTCAGAAATAATTGCATGTATGATAAGGGCTGCTGTGATGAACTTGATTAATTTTACTCTTTTAAAAACCTCTCGTGTTTGTTTTCCCTTGGATTTCCTGACAGCATATGCTGGGGGGTGGTGGGGAGTGGGGAATGGGGTGTGGACAGCACAGGCCAAGGGGTTGCTGGCCTTATAAAATATCTGTTCTTATCCTCTGCTTATTTTTCTGCTATTAACCTTTACATCAGCAGGCTGCAATCTTCATTCTCCCCACTTCCCAGGGAGCTTTAAGAGTGCAGCCTCACATCCCACCTCCGAGGACCCCGAGAGCCTAATCACTTTGATATCAGCTGTTTTTTGAGTAGCATGCACCTAGAAGGCAGCAGCAATTCCCACATGTCAGAGGGCCATCTCTATCTTCAGAGAAGACACTTTGAAATAAGGCTCTTCTGAAATTTGACATGGAAATGTGATCTATAGAGCGTTGAGGATTTATGTTTCAGTAAGTTGGGTCTTATGAGCAGGATGAAACTAAAGGAATGAGAGGCTTGTGTGTCAACACACCCTTTGATTTTACACTCTTCATAGATGTATTATTTATAATGGGTTTATTACATATGTCTAATATTCTTTGAAGTGTCCACATGCATATACATGCATACACACGCTGTTCTTTGTAAAAGAAAACAAGACCTAAATCCTAAAGCCAAGGCAAATGGAAAGTTAAAAACAGATTTCTGGGTAAAAGTTAATTTTCCAGTGTTATATTGGGCACTCCTTGCTTGGCTCTGCTCTTATTTCCCTCCCTTAAGTATGTCCATATCCACGCAAGGGGTTGGGGAGTGGGGAGTAGCTTCTACAGGAGTTGCTGGAGAGGAATCAGCTGAAGTGGGTGCACTGACTCATCCAGCCCAGCTGTGTTTGGTAATTGAGACCAGAACATTGCGCCAACAGAGAAACAAGAGAAGTTTTTCTACTCATTTCATCTTCATTCACCTCTATGCTCTATCTATCTATCTGTCTATCAATCTATCTATCTATCTATCTATCTATCTATCTATCTATCTATCTATCTATCTATCAATCATCTATCTATCTATTATCTATCTGTCTTTCTGTGTGTAATCTATCACTCATGGACTGTGTAGTCAGAAGATAGCACATTTTGTTTGGGGCCTGAAAAGTGATTTACCCAGGGTATGTGAGAATCTTGGACAACAAAGAAATAAACATACCAATCTCACTCACATTTCCCAGGCTGGATGACAGAAAGAATTTTCTTCTTTTCTCAATTCTCCTTAGCCTAATGATGAAGCTTATTCATTTTTGTGGCAAATTTATTTTTTAGAATAATATAAATTCTGGACACTTCATTGATGTACATTTTTTTACTGGTTGGCTATACAGAAAACTATAATATCCAGGTTTGCAAGCTAGCTGTCCAATCCCTCCATCTGATTGCTTTATTCTTTGTGTCTGATTTTGTGTTTGAATTCGCATCATGCTATAGATTCATTATTTATAAAATATACAGTTGCAAATCATTTCTGATATTAACAGTTATATTTTCAATGTATAGACATATAGTTATGTATGGGTAGATGTGTGCATATTTTGTACATGTAGATATCAGTTTCACATTTTTATTTTTGGAACTTTCAAGTAGCTGAGTTTGTTCTGCATTAAAAATACTCTCAGTAATACTTTTAGTGAGAAACATTTTTCTTCACAGTAATAACACTCTCATGATTCCCCGTCACCCACAGAGTATAGAGTAGGTTCTCTAGGACAGCAGAATAAGCCCCCTCCCACTACTTCCCATTTATGAAATCTGTGGCATACTACATTACTATTTTCTATGAACCTTTCCTGGATCACTTAACATGTTTACTACAATGTACTTATTTCTGTAATAGTGTCCTCTCCTAGACTCTAATTTACTAGAGAGGCCCCTGTCCTTGTTTTCATATTCCCACTAGTATGATGGCTGTCATATGGAAAGCACTCAAATGAGGCTCACAAGCTGAACTAAAACTCTTGTTTGCATTCCCTTTGTTGGTTAAAACACAAATGATAGAAAAGCAACAATGATACAATAATTTTTCATTTTATCTTAGATGTTAATACAGATACTCCTTGACCTACAAAGAGGTTATATCCTGAAAAGCCCATTGTAAGTTGAAATAGTGTAAGTAGAATATGAATTTAATACATCTAACTTACTGAACATCATAGTTTACCCTAGTGCCTACCTTAAATGTGCTCAGAACACATACATTAGCCCACAGTTGGGCAAAATTATCAAATAAACACAAAGCCTGTTTTATAATAAAGTGTTGAATATCTCATGTAATTTATTGAATACTGTACTGAAAGTAAAATACAGACTGGTAATATGGGTACTGAATGTATATCACTTTCGTACCATTATAAAGTCAACCGTTGTAACTTGAGCCATCTTAAGTTGGTAATGTCTGGCTATGAGAAATTGAGGTAAATGCTTTATAAGGACTAGCAGACCAGAAGATCACTGTCAAGCATGACATTCAGGATGAATTCCCTGATCACTGTAAGGCCAGGCTAAGGTCAGTTATTGTTCTGGAGCAAGGGTCTGGCTCTCACCATTTAAAAAGAACATCTAAAGCACCATGAGCAGAAGAACCTACTTCCAGAGCAAAATCAACAAATGTGGGTAGAAGGGAGGTGAGAGGGAAGGGATGGCGAGAACAAGCAGAGCATTTGAGCAGCCATTATTTGGTGAAATTTGAAGTTGTTTTTATTTTGAATTAAAATGTGGCATGATTTTGAACAGCAATAATGCCAAGCAGAACTATCCTGGATACTGGATCTCATTATTTTACCCGCACCTAGGAAATGCCACCGAGTGAGCCTCTTGGGGTTTTCTTTCTGGAATATGTGCACTGAGGTTCCCCAGCAGGATAGATGCAGTAAGATCTATCTATGTACTCTGACCTCAACCTGACCGAAAAAGAGGAGTCTTTTCATAGCTGGTAGGCAAAAGAAAATAGTTTAAAGTAGATTTTTATTTTCCAGTGATGGCTTTTTTATTTCATGTGCTCATTTGATTTTATTATTTTTTCCATCCAGATGTCTCATTTTTTTGCTGCAACTGCTTCCAGCTGTATCCCTCTGCAAATGGAAACAGAATGCTAGCAATAACCACTACCAAATGTATAAGTTCTTATGTCCAGGGTCCTAGAGTGCTGCAGAAATGTGTTTGGAAAACAATCCCTTTGAGGAATAATAAATTATAGCTGACAGTCACAGAGCATTTGGTAGCAGGTGGGCCGGATGCAGTTGTTATGTTACAAATGTTTGGCACATTCACATCTTGTTTAATCCTCACAATACCATGATGAAATCACTATTTTTCCCCATTTCACAGATGGAGAAGTTGAGTCACAGAGAAGTCAGGTAAATTGTACAAGAGAGAGTTAAGGATAAGGGTTTCAAAACTAGGAAAGTCTAATATCAGAACCTAAACTTTTACCCTACGTTATGTTGCTCCTGGTAAGAAATGCATAGGATGAAAGGGCAGAACATACAATGTTTCCTTCCTTCTTTCTTTCTCCTTTCTGTCTCCCTCTCTTTTTCTCTCCCTCCCTCCTCCCTCCTAATTTTCTGTCCTCCTCCTTTCTCTCCCTTCCCAGCTTTCTTTCTTTCATTATCTTTTTTAAAAACTCATACATTTTCTTCTTTTAAGGAAGATAATACACTTGGAAAATGTAAAATATGTGAAAAGAAATTAACATTCTTTTTGAGTGAGACAGACACCATGACAGACAATATATATGTTTTGTCTTGGATATCCTCCACAACATTTTTAGTAACTGTTCTAAAGCCCAGTTTATAGACAACCTGACACACAAAGGGATTATTTGCCTGCCTGCTCTATGTTGGGCTGTGGATCTTACAGGTTGTTGTTACACATAATCCTTAGGCAAAGAAGTGTCATCGTGGATATGCACACTGCAAAAATAATTTGAGCTTTAGATTTTATTATTGTAATTAACAGCTGAGGCTGCAACTCCTGAACACTGGAGACAAATTGGCAGGAGAAATAGGCACAGAAAGGAAAGTGTAAAAACGATGGGAAAAATGATTCACAAAGTTTTCCCCAATTTGAAACATTTTATACACATTGTTTTTAACATTTATCTTGCAGCTCCTAGAAGTCTTTAGGTACAAACAATGAGCATTTCTTGATCCATTAAAAGAGCTCTGTGATTAGCTCATTATATGCTAGGCAGAAGCACTTTAACTGGATCCATCTCTTTAATTTACAACTGATGCAAATTCTAGGCCTCATTCCACTGTTCTCATATGAGAAAATACATTCTAGCCTGTAAGAGAATAATGGATGTTTATCAGTGGGATACATGGCCCCAGTCTACAGAAGATGCAGTGAAGTGTGATATAACACAGAAGTGAAGATCAGGAAGGGGTGTAACACTGAAGTTTTTGTTATAAACATATATTGAGAGCCCAGTTCAGTGCTGCAAACAGATCAATAAAACCATGTTGGATCCAGTCTTAAGATGTATAGTCAAATTTTTTGTTTGTTATAGCTATATAGCTTTAAATTAATTCAGATATTAATCTAACAAATTCCATTGCACTATGACTCAGTTACAATTATTCTGTTCTATCATTATAAAGCTGGACTGTACAATGTGGTAGTCACTAGTCGCATGCGGCTACTACTGAGCACTTGACAAGTAGCTTTCAGAATCGAGATGTTCTGTGAATGTAAATACATGCTTGATATTGAAGACAGTATGAAAATAAAATTATAAGATTTATCATTAATAAGTTTTATGGTAACTACATGTTGAAGCAAATAGTATTTTGAATATATCAGATTAAATCAAATATATTATTAAAGTCATTTTTCTTTCTTTTTTTTCCTGTTTGATATGGCTACTAGTTAATTTAAAATTACTTATGTGACTTACATTGTATTTCTGTTGGAAAATACTGTTCTAGATTCCCCTCTTCTCCTTTCCAGCTGTCTTACAGATATTTTGAGTAATAGAATGTTATATGATGATGAGGATCAGTGGGTCCATGCATCTTCATTTGGCTCATGGAAAATAATAATAAAAAAATTGCCCAATTAGTAGATGAAGTGTTTGCTGTTTGTAGAAAACAGCAGACATTTCAACAAGGGTCTTGAATTTGACCTTTAATGTGATTGAACGCACATTTAAACAGAAGTTTCAAATGCTGTATTTAAACATATTTCCACGTTTAAATAGGATTTCTCAGAATCATTGTAAGAAAGTTCTAGAATATAATTTCAGATCAATCATAGATATTGAAATTACAAGCAAAATATTTATAAAAATATATTAGCAAAGAACTTTTTAAGGGAAGCAAGGTTTTCTATAAGAACACAAAGGCATTAAGAGTGATATAATGGACTCTGAGGACTCTGGGTGGGTTAGGGGGTGGATTGGAGGGATGTGGGGGATAAAAGGACTACATATCAGGTACAGTGTACACTGCTTGGGTGATGGGTGAACTAAAATCTCAGAAATCACCACTAAAGAACTTATCCACATAATCAAAAGTCACCCAAAACCATTGAAATAAATTTTTAAAAAATAAGCTTTTCGCATTTTGTGCTATGCTGTCTCTGGATTGTCAGCTTTTTCTTTTGGCTAGTTTCTCAGTTACTCTAGGGTGACAGTTCTAGAAGTCATCTATACATGAGAAACCATTGGAAGAAAGGGAGTCATCTCTTCTATGAATTTCCTTCTAAAAGCAAGAGAAAATTTGGCAGAATCTAGACAATAGGCTTTTTCTCAGGTTTTATTGGTTGGAATTGTGTCAAATACTCATGATGAAACCAGTCATTGCCAAGGGACAGGAGATAACCACAGTCAGCTTAGAAATGTTAGGACACTGTCACAGGATGCAATATGCCTACTCAGAAGCACATAGCCTTATGGAGGAGGGAAGATAACTGAACAAAGCATAGATAACAAAGCAAAGATAACTGAACAAAGCAGAGTACTGATTATTAGAAAGAAGGAGGCAGAGGTGGTGAAGTTGGATGTTGGGTAGATAAACCACAAGTGACTGTTGAAACTACAGCTGAAACTTCTTCCACTAAACAGGCATTTTGAGTTTTACATTCTGAATGCCATGCCTTAAAATAAGTTAATTTCAGACAAATGATTCCAGGAATAGAAAATTCCTGTTTTTATTCAATGAAGCACAATTTTTCAAGGACTCTGAAATCATTGTTTTTATAAAAATTAAATAGTTGTATGTGAATATATTTTAATACTTTTGAAATCAACCATTAAATATTATTCCTAAAATTTTAAAAGGCCATTGCCATGACAGTATAAGAAACCCAGTGCATTTCAAACAAGCATGAAAGCTAGCCCATAAACCTGGTCTTTGATTCCTTGTTTTACTTACTTATTGTTTGTATGGTAGTTAGTATATTTCTCACAGAGTTAAGTGACCCAGCAAATCAGTTCTGATCTTGTTTACTTAAAGATTTTGACTTTGTTTTCCAAACTCTAACCATTTTTTCAGTTTTGTATGCTGGGTTGAACAAATAAGTATTTGATCAATTATGAATTTGATCAGAAAATCAAATAATGTGAGAGTTGGAAAGTAGTTTATAGGTGTTCAACCCCAAATCCTTTCATTTTACAGACGATAAAACTGAGGTACAAGGAACACATAAGTACTTAGCATTTACAAATTCAGTCATCATGTATTTAATGAGTGCCTGTGATACAAGGACTGGATTTTCACTGTTACAAGTGTGACAAATATTATTATTAGCGTTTGCAGGTGGGTGGTGAGGAAAGACAGAAAATAAGTAGTAAGAAAAAAATTAGATAATTACCAAGTAAACGAAATAATAAAAACAAATAAAGAGGATAGAGTGTCAGATGGTCTCTCAGACCTCAAGGATGAGAAATACCAGAGCATGAGAAGGGAATGAAAGATAGCATTTTTGTCAGCAGTAACAACAAAACCAAAGACCCAGAGGCCAGAAAAAGCTTGGTCTGTTTAATAAAATCACAGAAGTCAATATAACTTAAGGAAATAGAGTGGTCAAGGTAGAGAAACATCTAAACTAATGTCTGGAATGTAAGCTAGGGGAAGATGATGGAAAGCTATTAAAAGTATGTTTGTTTTAAGGTCATTCTAAGGACATTAGGGGTTTTAAACAGAAGAAGGAATCATCTGATTTACATTTTTAAAAGATGCCTCTAGCATAGCTGTTATGTTGAAAATATATTAAAGAGTGCCACCAGTAGAAATGAGATCAGCTAGGAGGTTGTTGCAACAGTCCAGGTGAAAGATCATGGTGACTTGGACTTGGACTAATTTGGTAGCTATGTAACTTGTCTAAAAAAATTTTAAAAAGTGGTTGTATTCAAGATGCTTTTAAAAGATAGAACCTACAGGACTTAGTGATGGCTTATATAAATGATATGGGAAAAAATGGTGAAGAAAAACCTGGGTTAGTGTTTTCCAGAATTACTAAGATGGATACATGGCATAGGAATCAGGGACATGGAAGCATTTCCAATATTGAGAAGCCCATGACAGAGCCAAGTGGAGATGACAAGTAGTTGGTCGGACATATGTGTCCTCTGTACTGATAGAGGAGAAGGCTCAGGCTAAACCCCTGAGATATGTCTGTCACAAAGACTGGAGAGAGAGGAGGCCAGGAAAGGAGAGTAAAAGGAAGCCAGTGTTATAGAAAATACTAGGTAAGTGTGGTACCTGTGGAGCTAAGAGTTTATTTCAAAAGGTGAGAATGTTGATCTAATAACATAAAGATTAGTTCTGATCAGCCACAAGTCAAGTTAAGTATAGTGAAAGATAGAAGCCAGGTTACAGTGGATTGAAGAAACATAGAAGTTGAGATATAAAGACAATATATGAAGACAATTTTTTCCGAGACGTATGACTGTTGACAAGAAGCAGAGCATAGTGGCCCTAATTGGAATGAATTGCTGAATCAAAAAAATGAAAAAACACATTTTACACCCAGTTCAGTCCTGATACTATCACAACTAGTTCAGTAATAGTACTACCACACTGAAAGGCTTCAGGAATAATCCCCATTTTGTGGTTCTTGTATAAATCAAATAGTTTCTTATTCTCGACTTCTCAGTATGTGACTGAATGAATCCTTTATTTGTTGATCCAATGTTTAAGAGCCTATTACATGCTGGGCCATGTGAGTGGTACAGGGGTACAACAATAAAGGCAGCCCACATTCTCAAAGTGCTGGAAAGTAGTGAGAGAAATAAGCAAGTCAACATATGAGAATAGTGTGCCCACATAACAAAGTGTAAGAAGGTGCTGTAATTTGTGAGAAAAAGCCACTAGTTGTTTTCATTCAGGGTTATTCTAATCCTATCAGAGCAAGTTAAAATCTGAAGATTTAGCAGATACTAACCAGAAAAACGTGTAGGTGGGAGAGGTTAATGTGAATAGGAAGGTAAATGTTCAAAAGAGTGAGAAATAGCCTATAAAATGCTCCTGGAGGGAGCAATGGGATTTGGATAAGTTTATTGGCCAGAGCACAGCCCAAGAGGTGAATAATGGTGAGAAATGATACAGTAGAGATAAATTGTTCATGTGCATGCCTGTGTGTGTGCACGTACATGTATGTGTGGGTCTGCTTCTGTGTTAGGCACACAGAGGTACCTGTGATGGTGGGCTGGGCTGGTATGGAAGAGGGAGAAAGGAAGAGGGAAGAGGATCGAGATGGAAGAAGGCAGAGATAAGGCCATTATTAAAGAGTTTAAACTTTATACAAAAGAACCCTATAAAATGATGCTGAAATGACACCACATCCACCTTCTTTCATAAGGTTTTTTGAAAGAGCTTTGTAAATGTATAGCATTACATTGGTATTAATAAGAGCCAAGACATCGAGGAAAGAAACTGGTGTTAAATGCTGAGATAAGAGATTCTCAAACACTCTGTTTCAATTGACTCAACATTTGTAAAGTGAATTAATATTTGCAGGAAATTCAGTTTTATAATTGTAATAAAACATAGTAATTTTTATCATTGTTCATCATTATTCTAGTTTATGTAGAAATTTATATCACCAAAAATGTAGTCCATACCTATGAAATACTAACTTTAGTACATTATGGATTTCTATTTTTCTTCTAGAGAAAATAAATGAAAATTATATAAATTATGGACAATATATCTTACAAAGATATTTCTCCTACATAATTATTTCCTAAAAAGATGTGACATTTAACTTCAATCATACCAAAGTCTATGATACAAATTAGAGAAAAATGAATATGTCAAAATGAAGTACACTATTTCCAAATAATAGACATCTTCATTTAGTATAATATTTTTACATCTGTATATTTCCATTAGTACCAGGACTTACCAACATAAAGAAGTGGGAAATCATCAAGCTGTGAAGATGCAAAGTGACTGTACCATTTTGTATTCCAACCAGCAATGAATGAACTTGTTCATTGCTTCATATCCTTTCCAGCATTTGCCATTGTCAGTGTTCACATATTGGCTATAATGTAGTTTGGCCATAGTAGGTGTGTGGTGTTCTCTCACTGTTGTCTGAATATGGATTTCCCTGATGACATACGATACGGAGCATCTTTTCTTGTGCTTATTTGCCATCTATATATCTTCTTTGCTGAGGGGTCTATGCAAGTATTTGACCTATTTTTTTAAACATACATAGTTTTAACATGCAAAACAGCAATCACACGCCAAGGAGTTGAAAACATGTCCGTGCAAAAACCTTCACACAAATATTTATAGTAGCTTTATTCATAATTACCAAAACATGAAAGTAACCAACTTGTCCTTCAATAGGTGAATGGATAAACTGTGATACATCTAGATAAGAGAAAATTACTCAGTGCTAAAAAGAAATGAGCCATCAGGCCATGAAAAGACATGGAAGAACCTTGAAGGCATATTACTAAGTTAAAGATGCCAGTGTGAAAGGCTACACAATGTATGATTCCAACCACGTGTATATGAAATTCTGGAATAGGCAAAACTGTGGCAGCAATAAAGAGATCAGTGGTTGCCAGGGCTTGAGGGAAGGAGGGAGGGATGAATAGGCAGAACAAGGAGGATTTTTAAGGGAGGGAAAATGTGGCATATCCACTATAATGGTGGACACATGTCATTATTCATTCGTCCAAACTGATAGATTATAAGACACCAAGAGTGAACCTTAATGAAAACTATAGGTTTTCAGTGGTAATGATGTGTCTGTGTAGGTTCATCAGTTGTAACAAATGTACCACCTGTGGTGGGGAGTGTTGGTAACTGGGGAGACTGTACATGTTTTTGTGGGGAGAGGATAGATATAGGAATTCTTTTTACCTTTCTCTTGAACTTGCCATGAACCTAAAGCTGCTCTAAAAAATGTTTTCTAAAAAGGTATTCTTGACAAATTTTCCTACCAGAGAAAAAAAGACAAATGAAAATAAAACCCACAGATCCTATTCCCAGCTTTAAAACATGTGATGTAAAAATTATTACCTAACCTAACAACTCAGCTATAGATTTTCACCTCTCACAGTAAATGCATCCAAAGGAAATAAACTGTGAAAACCTCAAAATCTTCAAGGTTGTTTTTGTTCTATGAAAAATAACTTACCTAGTACTAGTTATTTTATAGGGCTGCTTTTGAAATTCATTAGAATTCAAAAAAAATCTGTAAGAGTTTAGTAAAAGCTTTGGTTATTTGGCATAATGACTGTCAGGCTTTAGAAATAGATGTAAAAAAGTTTTTATATGCAGCAGTTATGAAGTCTGTGTTCTTGTTTCTCTTGTTGAAAGAAGCATTTATATGCTAATGAATTCTACTGCAATAGAATTACATATTTTACAAGTATCTAGTTGTATTACTAAAGTGTAAGTGTTTCCTGTACTAACCAATATCCTCTACTCTGCAAGATTCCTAAGCATTGTTTTCAGAAGAATAAATTAGAGGCCTTGTCATGGTTTAAAATAAAAACCTGGTTAGGTTTTATGAGTAATTAACAACAATATATTAGACTGAGTACTATTTCCAGGGTGGTATTTGTTTTATATATAATATATATGTACACACAAGTATAGGTATAATACCTACGTAGTTTATATTCTTCACAGCAAATCTAAACTGTAGATACTATTATTATTCATTTGTTAATGATGAGGAAATGGACACAGAGAGGTTAAGTAACTTGGTAATACCTCACAGTTATAAGTGGTGCAGGGAGGGTTGCTTGATAAAATACAGGTCCCCAGGTAAATTTTAACTTCAGATAAACAAATTTTTATGTGTGTTCTAAATATTTCATTGGGTATAATTAAACTTAAAAATATTCACTATCCGAAATTCAAATTTACCTACATATCCTATATTTTATTTGCTAAATCTAAAACTGTAGGTGGAACAGAGATTTCTATCCGGACTGCCTGGCCCCAGAGCTTGTGCTCCTTCCCACCACCTTACACCATTACTTGTATCAGAAAAGAAGCTTAATATACATAAAAGAGATGTATTGGGGCAAGTATAAATTGAAAGTGAAAAATGCAGCATAAAAGTTTTTTTTAATTTGCACATCCGTCATTATCATTATCATGGTTGTAATCTCTACAATAAGAGCTACCTGTTTATCATGCACTATGCTTCTTGCTTTATATAAATTAATTCATTTAAATATTACAATTATTATTTCCATTGAACAATGAGGTTTAGAGAAGTTGAGATCCTCTTCCAAGATCACACAGCCATAAAGTGGTTTGACCCCAAGGCAGGTGCTTTCATAAACCTTAAATTGCAGTTGGTACTATGGCATCCAATAATCCTGAAACCTTCGCATAAATCAGAATCACCCAAAGGATGGCTTATTAAAGCACAGATTGCTGGGCCCCACCCCAGAGTTTCTGACTCAGTTGTTCTAGAGTGGAGCTGGGAATTTGTATCTCTAAGTTCCTAGGTGATTCTCAAACTGTTGGTCTGAGACTACGTTTTGAGAACCATCTGTTGCCAGCAATTCTGTCTCTGGGCTTTTTGTATTGAATACTCAAATTTCAGTGAAAACAACATTAGAAAATAGAAGATATTGTAGGAAGATAAATAAATAGCACCTCTCAGAAAGCAAAGATGGATAAGCAAATTGAACAGGTAAGAAGGTACGTGGTATCCACATGGCATTTCATGAGAATATTTTAATGGAACTCAGAATAATTGTGAAAACCAGATTTTATGGGTGCAAAGGGATATAATTCAGGGATCAGGGTGGCATGGGTTCATCAAAATTTTATGTGTTACAAATGCAAGGTAGGGCTGAGTTGGGTGGATCATGCCTGCAATAACAGCACTTTGGGAGGCCTAGGAGGGCGGGTTGCTTGAGCTCACGAATTTGAGACCAGCCTGGGTAACATGGTGAAACACCTTCTCTACAAAAAAATAAAAATTAGCTGGGAGTGATGGTGTGTGCCTGTGGTTCCAGCTACTTGGGAGGCTGAGGTGGGAGGATCGCTTGAGCCTGGGAGGTAGAGGTTTCAGTGAGCAGAGATCATACCACTGCACTCCAGCCTGGGTGATAGAGCCAGACTATATATATATATATATATATATATATATATATATATATATATATATGACTATATATTTATGTATGACTATATATATGACTATATATATATGACTATATACATATGACTATATATGACTCTATATATGACTCTATATATATGACTATATATGTCTATATATATGACTCTCTCTCTCTCTCTATATATATATATATATGCAAGCTAGTTTTAGAAAGACTGCAGGACTATTTTTTCTTCTATTTGGCTTTTGGGGATAAAATTTTTCTCTTTAACATGAAACAAAATGTCAACAAAATCCATCAGGTATCAGGTATCACCCAATTTTTACTAGTGAGTACTAAACTAACCCTTTCTTCGGGCAATTTGAGATTGTGGAAAAAAAATCTTATATGAAATAATATATATATCTCATAATCTTAGACTTGACGTTTAGGAAGTTGATATAAGGAAATTGTTAAATTTTGACAGATTTGTTGACCTTGATTGCAGCGTTGCATCTAACAGAGGCGATTGTGAACAAGCTAGATTGAGCTGCTTACCAAAGCACCTCCTCCCTTGTGCCGCATTTGCCAAATGCACTGGGCTTTTCACTTGAGTTTGTCAAGCTCCTCCCTCTTCCAAAAGAGTCTCATGGGCTCCTGTACATCATTCATATGTCACCTTAAATGAGGCTACTCTGTGTTTTTCTATTTCATAAGTTTATCATCACTAGTTATATGTATGTGTGGTCAATTTATTTATATCTTATTTGTATTTATACGTTGATTCTAAAATTTCCATGAGGGTAGTGGCCATCTTTGCTTGTTCAGCAGATATCACATAATGTATGGCACTTAATAAGCAATAAATACTTACTGAATAAAATAGTGGATAATTGTTTTCCAGACTTTTCCTTATATAATTATTTGTCTGAATTTTGTAAAATGTTTAGAACCTTTGCTCCCAAAAAATGCCACATGTTGTGTTGCCTTAAGTCACTTGACTTTGTGTACTTGCTGTTTTCTAGGAGCCACATTATTAAGTTCTGTTTTTCTTTAAATGATTCAATTACTTCTCTTCTGTAAAAAAAAGGAAATATCATCTAATTAGTAGTAGGTTGAACTGGAACTTCTACTTGCCTGTTAATTTATCCTCAATCTCACTAATCAAAGAGAATGCAAAAAGTAGTCTTCCAGGAATAAATTATTTGAAAAACTCAACTGGAAAGAGGAGATAAGCAATGCATCATATACATTTCTGGTTCAATGCCTTAGGCATATGACTGCTTGCAGGGACTAGATGCTATTTTGCTATGTAGTTGAAGTTGTCAGTTAATTGAAAAATTAAAAATTAGCCCTAAATAGGGAAATAAAATATGCCAACCACTCCCTCAATAAAAAACAAGAAGCAATATTTATATGAAAATGCTAGAGAATATGTTCATTTAAGGTACTTTTTAGTAAAGCAATCAAATGAATACCCCACAATAACAATTATAATTCTAGGTTGTTCTGGGCTATTCAATAACTCTATGTTTGGATGGATTATTTTACACTTCCAGTTCTAAGCTTTTCTTTTTGACATCTTGTTTACTGTTTGTTGATACTATTTATACTTATAAAACCTTGAGGTTGTGCATCCTTTGTAGTATTTAATGTAATGCCTTGCTAATGTTAAGTCATTTTAAGGATCTTTAAAACTAGCTTGTCAAAGGAAAGGGAATTCTTAGAGGGGATAATGATTTGTTTTTTGTTTGCATTGCCTCAATGTAAATCTGTGTCGTATAATTGTGTTTTATATTATTAGCTGTATCAGTTGATGGGGGGTATAATAGAGAGGGAGAGAGAGAGAGAGAGAGAGAGAGATTTATTATGAAGAATTGGCTTACAGAATTGTTGGGGCTGGGGAGCATGTCTGAAGGAAGGGGAGGTTGGAACCCTGGTCACCAGATGAAGCTGCAGTCCAGTCCATGGGCTGAATTTGTTCTTCTTCAGTAGAGCCTCAGTTCTTCATTTGACTGATTATCCAGGGTAGTCTTTCTTACTTGAAGATTACAGTTTACTATAAACTTTAATCACATCTACAGAGTATTTCACAGAAATACCTAATTTAGTGTTTGATTGAATAACCAAGGACTACAGCCTTGCCAAACTAACACGTAAAACTCACCATTCTACTAGTATTCTGGCAAGAACCAAAATAATTATACCTTGCATAATATTAAATAGAAAAATTTCAAGTAAAAAAAATAAAGTAATTGGAAAAGATATTTTCCAAAGTCCCTCTCAGCTCAACAACATTATGAAAAGAAAGAATTACTCAAACAAAGCTATCAAGAGTTCTGTCCCACATTACAGGTTGATGGCTAGAAAAGAAAATAGTGACTCAGAATTAAGATGATAAGAGTTACAATGACTCTTAGAATAGAATGTTCTTTTTAGCTTATTAATGATTTCTAAAACTTCACTGGTAAAAATATCAAAACCTTAGCAAATAGGAAAAGACAAGAATATGTGTGAAGTGAATGTTTGCAACCAGATCCTTACAAAAAAAAGTCTGATTTTGCTCTAAATATTTCAGTACTAAACATTCAGTAGTCTATGAATTCATGAATATTTTTATGAGTGTAAATGTGATCTACTGCAAAACACGTAGATGAAGAAAAACAGGAAAAAAAATTGTCCTTGAAGAAAAATGGCTAGTAGCTTTGTAGACAATCTTTTTTTTTCTAAAAGATTTTTTGTTTGTTTTAGTTTAATATTTGGAAGATGATAAGTTTGTTTCAAGCAGAATTTACTGAGCCATACTATACACAAATATTATCTACACAGATGGGAGAATTGAAAGCTGGAACTGGATAATTTAGCAAAGCAGACAACTGCTACAGTGAAGGTTTCCGACCTTCAATTTTATTTTGCCTTAACTTGAGACTTTGCCTAGTACAGCATGGGTACATACATTGATGTATTGCTGTTATAAGTTTCCTTCTTTATTGTGCTCTTTAGTTAATATTTTATTGATATGTTTGATGTCTTAACAGCGACATTTTCTTCAGTTCAAATAAGAAAGTATTTTTTAAACTACCTCATGCTGTTAAAAATGTGATGTTATCAATACCTATGTGAGGGAGTTGAGGATGTACTTTTAACTACAGAAAATTAGAGAAAAAATGGTAGGTTTATACATGCTTTTACTTTTGGGCCTCGTTTATTCCTTCAAAATTTTTGATCATATACCACTGTCAGAAAACTTATATAAAAGTCGGAAATAAAGTGATATGTTGGGTGGCATGCATTTTCAATGCCATACAGAGATGAAGGCCACCCAAAGATTACCTAGGTGAATGTCCTTATGTAGTAAGTAAACTATAAGAAATAATGGTGGCTATATGATTAATGATAGCCATAGGCCCATGCAAACATCTTTCAGTCAGGGATGACACTACACTTTACTTAGTAGTCTGTTGTAATCTGGCCTGGTGATTTCCAGGAGATAAGACCATCTTATCACAGATACAACAATCATAAACCTTAAAATAAAGCTCATCTTTACAAGAATAGTTTAAACTCCCTTCATGAAAGAAAAACATAACCAGACTTAATTACAGGTGAAAGAAAGGGAGGAGAATTCCCCAAATTCTGAGAATGGTCACTAGACAGAGACTCTGGCCAGCGAGTAACCTAACACCCTGGCTGTCTGGTCCACGCTACCATCATCTCCCCACTATCCATTTTGTAAAAGCACTGCCAGAATCAACTATTTGGACATCAGCCTCAGACTCATCTTTGATGATAATTAAACCCAAGGAGAGAAGTTGCCCTAGGGGAGTTGCTTTACTAAAATCCCGAGACCACTCAACACAACACCTTAGATCATGTCACTGCTTACTATTGATTAAAGGATGCCAGACATGGTGAAGTTACATTCTAACGTACAGATTTTTTTTTTTTAGTAGACATAGACATAAAATCTGTCCAGTGAAGTATGTAACCCCAGAGATTCTGTCTTACGGCTCTGGATATTTTCTAGTGTTTTTCTAACCCAGCAATTTTATCTTAACTTTTATCTCTACTTCAATCTCTCCTGTAATTTAGGTCATGCAAGATAGTAAACATACAGAATCATATTTTGTACGTGAATACAATGATGCACTCCTTCCAGTGGTGTCATTTTATATTTTGTTGGGATAGTTTTCAGTTATGAAAGCCATTTAAATTAAATTTCAAAATAAGCTGAAGGATACGCCTTCAAATTCATGTATAAACAGTGGTAAAATACGATTTTCAAAAACATTCAGCATCTTTGTGTTTTTCTCACAGTGACAGCATATTATTCATAAATAAAAGTATTTAAAATGTAATTTGCTTCATCTTTCTCCAATCAACAGTCTGCCAGGAGAAATTTAAATTATCTCTAGAGGAAAATAACATCATTGAGAGCCTCTACAAACTTTCCTACACAATGTCTAGGATTCGCAATTCCTGATTAAAATAGGACAAAGTGAGCAAACACTGAATGGGAAAAAAAAAAGACAATAAAAGAAGAACTGCAAGTGATTCAGACATTGTAGTTATAGGAAATAAGACTTTAAAATAATTATGACAAACATGTGTAAAGAGATGACAAAATGAAGAATCTCTTCACTAAAATTCACAAAAATAGAACCAGATGAATATCCTAAAACTGAAAAGAGGAAAACTGAAATTGGAGATTAAAATTTAGGCTAAACAGCAAGTAAGACATAACAAAATACAAAATTACTGAAATGAGAGATAAATCAGTGCAGAATGTTAGATTGAGATAAGAAACTAAAAATGATGGAAAACACATAAAAGAGTAGACTTTTTTATACAATTAAAAGATCTAAAAAATATAATGAGAGTTTTAGATGTAGAGGGAAGAGAAAATGTATCAGAGTGGTATTTGAATTGCTACTGACTGACAATTTTTCAAAACCGAGGAAATACATTAAACCATAGATTTAAAGAAACTGTGAACATCAAGCAGGATAAATATAAAGAACAATACTAGGCACACCATAGTCAATATGCTGAAAAGCAAAGACAGAAGGAAACAATTTAAATCACAAGAAATGAAAAGGGGAGACATCACTTTCAAGGGAGCAATACACTTTTCATATGTGTTACTGTAGAAACAAAACCACATTGAAACAACAGCTTCAAGTTTCTGGAATAAAATAACTTCCAACGTGAATTCTACACCTTCTGAAATCGCCTTAAAATATAAAAATAAAACAAAGACACTTAAAGACAAAATTGAGATTACTCTTTGGTAGCAGACCAGCAGCTAAAGAAATACTAAGGGCAATGTGTAAAGCAGAAAAAAATAGATCCCTGATGCAAATCAGAAAAGCAGAAAGAACTAAAAATTTTTGTAAAATAAATATATGTGTAAACTTAATGCCTATCGGCCATGTCAAATAAAAGTAATGTTTGCTCATTGCTGTAGTCTGAATGTTCGTTTCCTCCCCAAATTCATATGTTGAAATCCTAATCCCCAAGGTGATGGCATTAGAAGAAGGGGACATTGGGAGGTGATTGAGTCATGTGGGCAGGGTCCCCATGATTAGGATTAGTGCCTTTATAAATGAGGCCCCAGAGAGCAAGCTCTTCCACCAAGTGAGGACACAGTGAGAAGACACTGTCTCAGAAAGAGAATAGGCTTTCACCAGACACCAGATTCTGCCAGCTCCTTGATCTTGGATTTCTCAGTCTCCTAGAACTGTGAAAATACATTTATATTGCTCATAAGCTACCCAGCTCAATATGCTTTGTTATAACAGTTGAAATGGACAAGACACTGGTTTAAAATATATATATATTTATATATTTTATATATGTAATTTATATATTTAATTACATATAATTAAATAATATAAAATAATCACATAAAAGAAAGGAGATTAAAAGGAGACAAAATATTCTAAGTTTTTTGTATTGTGATGAGTTCCAATGTATCAGAGCTCTGATAAGTCAATGGTATATACTGAAACTTACAGAGAAACTATTCAAAAGCAACATATAAAGATATATAATTAAAAATTTAATAGTCAAATGGAATAATAATAATAGTGATCTTGATAAAAATAAATCCAGAAAGAATTAAAACAGAATTAGAGCAGCTAGGAAAAATAGAAAATAAATAGAAAAATGGAGATTTGAATCCAAATTATACAGTAATTATATTAAATATAAATAAAGTTCCTATAAAAACATAAATATTATTGTCAAACAAAGTTAAAATCTAACTGATGCTTATTAGAGGCACACATTAAGTATAATGATACAGAAAAATTAAAAGTAAAATAATCAAAATATTCTATCTTCCCTCACATCCCCCAGAAATATTGTCAGGAATAAAAGAGCAACAGGAAAATTACCAATATTAGGTGTGCCAGGGACGTATTATTAGATAGATAATCAAAGAATAGCCTGAATGCATTTTGGTGAATACAGTTGAAAGTTTAGATAAAATAGACACCAGAAGAAACAAAAAATCTAAAATATACTTTAATATATTAATTAAATGAATTATCCAATTAAAATCTATTGCACAAAGAACTCTTCATACTAAGATTCTTTCATAGACAAATTACAAATATTTTAAGAATTATATATCTTTAATAATACAAAAAGTATTTCAGATAAAATACATACCTATTCATTTTATAAAGCAAGCGTAACCAAAATTTGACACAGATAGTCCAAGAAAGACAGATAGACCTCAACACAATAACAGCTGGAGACCTCCAAACCCCATTTTCAACACTGGGCACCTCTTCCAAACAGCAAATAAACAAAGAAATGTTTGAATTAGTCTGCACTGTAGAACAAATGGACCCAATAAGTATTTACAGAACATTTCATCCAGTGGCTGCACAATACACATTCTTCTCCTCAGCACATGGATCATTGTCAAGGATAGACCATATGTTAGGTCACAAAACAAGTCTTAAAACATTCAAAAAAATTGAAATAATATCATCCATCTTCTCTGACCACAATGGAATTAAACTAGAAATCAATAATAGGAGGAACTTTGTAAACTATACAAACACATGGAAATTAAAAAAATATGTTCCTTAATGACCAATGAGTCAAGGAAGAAATTAAGAAGGAAATTGGAAAAAATCTTGAAACAAATGAAAATGGAAACACAATATACCAATATCCATGGGATACAATGAAAGGAGTACTAAGAGGAAAATTTATAGCTATAAATGCCTACCTCAAAAAAGATGAAAAACTTCAAATAAATAACCTAATGATGCATCTTAAAGAACTAGAAAAGCAAGAGCAAACCAAACCCAAATTTAATAGAAGAAAAGAAATAATAAAGACCAGAGCAGAAATAAATGAATTTGAAGTTAAGAAAACAATACAAAAATCAAGGAAACAAAAGTTGGGTTTTTGAGAAGATAAACAGAATTGACAGAACTTCTACCATACTAATGAAGAAAAAAATAGAAGAAGTCTAAAAATCAGAAATGAAAAAGGAGACATTACAACTGATGCCACAGAAATTCAAAGGGCCATTTGCAGCTACTGTGAGCAACTATATGACAATAAATAGGAAAATCTAGAGGAAATTGATACATTTCTAGGCACATGTAACCTACCAAGATTGAACCATGAAGAAACGCAAAATCTGAACAGACCATTAACAAGTAACGAGATGGAAGCTGTAATAAGTCTTCCAGTAAAGAAAAGCCTGGGGCCCTATGAATTCACTGCTGACTTCCACCAAACATTTAAAGGGGAAATAATACCAATCCTGCTAGAACTATTTCAGAAAATACAGGAAGAGGGAATACTTCCAAACTCATTCTATAAAGCCAATATTAACCTGATACCATAACCAGACAAATACTCATTAAAAAAAGAAAATTACAGGCCAGTATCTCTGACGAATATTAATGGTAAAATCATCAACAAAATACTAGCAATCTAAATTCAATAATACATTGAAAGCATCATTGATCACTACCAAGTGGGACTATCCCAGGGATGCAACATACACATATCAATTAACATACACAGATCAATTAACATACACTATCAATTAATATGATACATCATATCAACAGAATGAAGGTCAAAAATCATCTGATCATTTCAGTTGATTCTGAAAAAGCATTTGATAAAATTCTTTTTATCATCTCTCTGTAATAGACATCTCTACATAATCAACATCTCTATGTAATAAAAACCCTCAAAAAGCTGGGTATAGAAGGAACATACATCAACATAATAAAAGCCATGTATGACAGACTTACAGATAGTGTTATACTGAATAGGACAAATTTGAAAGCCTCTCCTCTAAGATCTGGAACACAACAAGGATGCCCACTTTAGCCACTATTATTCAACGTAGTACTGGAAATACTAGCCATAACAATTAGACAAGAAAAAGGAATAAGTGACATCTAAATTGGAAAGTAAGAAGTCAAATTATCTTTGCAGATGTTCTGATCTTATACTTGGAAAAACCTAAAAGCTGCACAAAAGTACTATTAGAACTGATAAATGCATTCAGTAAATTTGCAAGATACAAAATCAACATTTAAAAATCAGTAACATTTCTATATACCAACAGTGAACAATCTCAAAAAGAATTTAAAAAGTAATCCCATTTATAATAACAACAAATAAAATTAAATACCTCAGAATTAAATTAACTGAAGAAGTAAAAGATCTGTGCAATGAAAATAGTAAAACTGCTGAAAGAAATTGAGGAAGACATAAGCAAAAATGGAAAGAAATTCCATGTTCATAGATTGGAAGAATCAATATTGTTCAAATATTCAATACTACTCAAAGCAATCTACAGATTCAATGCAATCCTTATCAAAATACCAATGACATTCTTCAAAGAAATAGAAAAGAATCATAAAATTTATATGGAACTACAGAAAACCCAGAAGAGCCAAAGTTATCCTGAGCAAAAAGAACAAAGCCAGAGGAAGTTGTACTACATGACTTCAAGTTATGCTACAGATATAGTAACCAAAATAGCATGGTACTGGCATAAAAACAGAAACATAGACCAATTAAACATAATAGAGACCCCACAAACAAATCCACACACCTCTAGTGAACTCACTTTCAAAACTGATGCCAAAAGCATAGACTGGGAAAAAGTCTCTTCAATAAATGATATTGAGAAAACTGGATATCCATATGCAGAATAATGAAACTAGATCCTATCTGTCACCGTCTACAAAAATAAAATATAAATGGATTAAAGACTTAAGTCTAAGACCTCAAACTATGAAGCTAGTACAAGAAAACTAGCATTTGGCACACATATTACTGTTGAGTCAATACCTAGAAGTGTAATTGCTTGATCATAGAGTATGTATAAATTGAGCTTATTAGATAATGCCAAAAGGGTTTTTCAAAGTAGATATACAATTTGAAAACTTATCAGCAATGCATGAGAGTATCAATTACTCTATATGCTCTCTAAGGCAAAATTCTGTCCATTTTAAATATTTTACTTATTTATTTTGATTGGCAAATGATGGTGTTACATTCTTGTTTTAATTTGCATTCCCCTGGTAGTAAAAATGGTGAGAAAATTTTCACATTTGTGGACCTTTTGGATATAATATTTTATGAAATGTTATTCCATATTTTGACCATTTTCTATTAAATTGCCTTTTTTATAATTTTTATGGTAGCTTATATGTATATATAGCCATATATATTTGAGACACAATTTCTTTGCCAGGTATATGTATTGCTAATATTTTCTTCCACTCTGTGAATTGCCTTTTTTTCTCACTTAATAATATCTTTGGATGAACAAAAATTCCTAATTTTAATAGATTGCAATTTATAAATTATTTCCTTTATGGTTAGTTCTTTTAGTGGCCTGCTTAAGAAATCACCCAATGAAGACATTACATTCAAAATTTGTTTAATGAATACATGAATGAAGCTGTGTTGAGCCAGATGACCTTAAACTTAAACCCCAGTTCTACATATTTGTAACTAGTTTACCATATTCACATTGTATTTCTTCTTTGTAAGCCTCATTCTTTATTATCTGTAAAATGGGGGCAGTGACATACTCTTCAGGTAGGTTTTGTATTGGGCATAATATAGGTAAAGTGTCTGGAACATATTAGGTACTTGATAAGCATTAGTATTTATTTTAACAAATTTTCATAATTGATTTTCTTAGCCTACAGATACCCTAAATCCTGCTTCTCAACATGTGGTCAGTGATCCCTAGGAGCTTGCTAGAAATTCAGACTCTCCAGGCCCACCCCAGACCTACTGAATCAAAATCTGATTTTAAACAACACTCCTCAGTGATTTCCCCTATTGCAATTTGAGAACCACTATACTTAGATTTTTACTCGTTGAATAATTTGGGGAGTTAACTAAGATATTTATTTTAATTTTTCATTTGATCTAATTTAATTAAATGGAGAAAAGGAGCCAGAGAATTGTTCCACTGTTAACTTTGTCTTTGACCAGCCATTCTTTATTAAAAAGCACCTGCTCTTGAAATTGAACTCTTGTGCCCATGGCCAGGTAGCTCATAGGCCCAGAGCTAGCTTCCTGGTGAGAACATTAACTTCCTAAGAAATATTTGTACTTACCTTTCTTTGAAAGAAATAGAAGCCTTTTACAGCAATGTGCCTATAAGAGTAACGTCAGGCAATGCAGCTCAAGCAAACTGCATCACTAGCCAAGATTCTCATGGGATGAGTGCCCAAATCAATAGTGTAGGTAACACAATTACCGCTTAATAAATTGTATTCAAGTTTCTCTGAGATGAAATAACCCAGATTTTATTGTTGTGGTAGAAACAATATTGTGAAAGAATGAGCCCCAAGTGTCTGGAGATTAAGGGAGATTGTCGGAGAAATTTAGCACTGTGTAGGGATGGAAAGCATTTTTCTTGTTATTCAACTAAGTGTCATATAGTAATTTCTTTCCAGTTTTCATCTCAAAGGCATTGGCCTGCATCTTATCTTGCTCAGCATCCCTGCAGAGTTGAACCAAGAGCTAAGGTCTCTTTGAAGTTAATGGAGACTCTGTGCTCAGATTAGCCCTACAGGATTTGTCTAGCAAAGCAAGAAACAGGCTCTTTATTTATACTGGTGTTTATGAAATCACAGGGGAAACAACTATTACTCAGCAGGATGGCTCTTACAGAGATGGAGATATTTGCAGTTTTAAATCTACTTTAGCTTTTTTTTCTTTATTAGTCACTTAGCGCTACAGCATATTCTTAGGATCTAAATGCCTACCTTAATTGAAAGAGCCTTGGAAAAAATAGCCAGGAGACTTGCATTCTAATAGCAACCCTGGTACTTATTAACTATGTATCCTTGGAGAAATCATCTTTTCTCTATGGACTTTAAAGAAATTGGATTAGATAATCTTTAAACTCATTCTGAGAAGAAAATTTTTGTGATTCAACATATTAACTTAAAAGGAACTCTTTTACAAGGAAAGGTATCAAGATAAGATTTTGTAACTACAATCCAAAAACAATGTTCAGAGAGTCAGTCCGCAGTTATATATAATATTGTCTGTGTTTGCTTTTGTGCACTCAGAGAGAGGGTCCATGGTATTCAGATTCTGGAAGGGGTCTGTCACCACAAAATTGCAGGACAAATACGACAGGAGCACAAATTAAGAGTCAAGAGCAAATATTTGAAAGGAATTTAAAAGGAATGATCTGCAGAGTTTTTTATTTCTCAAATAAAATATTTTAACATATGTTTCTAAAATTTTAACAATGATTAGCTTCCCTGAACACAACATATACTCTACACATACACATGCACACTGGGGATAATGTGTCCTATGCTTGGCTAATGCTATGAATTACTTTTTGTAATTGAATTATAAACAAAATCAAACCAGTTTTTAAAATGCTACTTTAGAGGCAACTCAGCTGTTATAGAAAATCAGAGAAATATACAAAACACAATCAACTTCTAAGAGAAGCTCCTTCACCCCACGTAAGTTTTTAAGGATAACACTGCTGTTCTGGAAAAATAATAATTTTAAAGGTGCAGTTTTATATAACTGAAGGATTCCAGCAACTTATTTAGATTTATTTCTTTCATATTCTTCCAAAATTTAATTCTATCAAATGTCATACATATTCTTAAAGGAATTGTGATTTGCCGCAGCAAAGTCTCTTTTGTTTATCATTTGAGAGAGAATATCTGACTGCAAACATGTCTATGCAAGTTAATTTGCTTTTTGTGTCTTCCTAGATACTATTATCTAAGATCGGATTCAGCTCTGTGAATAGTTTTCAGCCCACATAATTATTTTGAAAGTGTTAGAGGCATTTCAAATGAAAATTTTGCAAATGAAGTGACACTGGATTGTGTAAAATCCTATCTTTCTAGGCTTGTTGTTTTAATCTATATTTTATCTATATTTTATTTGGGTGATAAGTAGAACTATTTTGTGCTTTCAATAAACATTGCCTTGTGGTTTTATTATAAAAACTGCATCCTTAAACCAAGATGAAACATATGGAAGCTTCATTGCTTAAACAAACAGCTGCACTTTTCTTCAGGGCAAATCTCAGAATCATAGTCTTGACAAAGAGCTTAAAAATCTTTCAGAAAAAATTAATTTTCTTCTTTCTAGCAATACAATTACATTCACAGATTATACAAGAAAACAGTAGGCATTTTTTTCTTCATATCTGCTCCTATTCCTCCTCCTTTCCTCTAATGCAAAAGCAAACAAGCATTGTCTCTCAGCTTCAAATGATTATTCTAATCTAGCTGCTGAAAGATAGAGTTTAATGGTTGCTACTGGTTGGAATCTTTGTCCCAGTTCCTTAACCAGTTTTAATATGTAGGAAACTGTCGGCTAACTCCCAGAACGTTGTTAACATGAATATTCTCACTGAGAGAAGCAATGCTGATAAGAAATGGGGCCCCCAGAACCAAATGTTTTTGATCCAGGAACTGCACTCTTTTCAAGGATGCTTTTCATTTTTCAGAGATGAATGTAAATAAGCCCATACAGCCTCTAGGGAACAAAAATAGAACCCCACCATTATCTGCTAATACACATTGGAGTAAATTGTATCCACCCTTTTACTCAGTATCTTAGCTGAATCAGGTTCAAAGCTACTCATTTCTTTGGGGATAAAGACGACAATTAGAATCTTTTCTTAGCTGGTTCAATTTAAAATTTAGACTTTGCTGATAATTTTTCTTTGGCTGATAATGAAAGTTGTTGGCACATTTCCCAGCCTAGATACTTATCTATAAATAAAGTTGTATGCTAGTGTGGCCAGAAAGAACATTAGTGCCTGCATCAGATAGTTTGAGATGGCTACTGGCAGAGAGCTATGCTGCTGTAAGAAATGAAGGCATTAGAAGCATGACAGTGCAGACTTGGGCTGCTTGTATGCCCACATTAAAATGTACATAATAAGCCAGGGGCAGTGGCTCATGTCTGTAATCCCAGCACTTTGGGAGGCTGAGGTAGGCGGATCACCTGAGGTCAGGAGTTCGAGACTAGCCTGGCCAACATGGCAAAACCCCATCTCCATTAAAAATAAAAAATTAAAATTAAAAAATAGCCAGGGATGGTGGCATGCATCTGTAATCCCAGCTACTCGGGAGGCTGAGGCAGGAGAATCACTTGAACACAGGAGACAGAGGTTGCAGTGAGCCAAGATTGCACCATTGAACTCCAGCCTGGGCAACAAGAGCGAAACTCCATCTCAAAAAAAATGGAAAATGTATATAATAGTCTTTCCTATACAAAGTATAGGAAAAGTATAACCTCCTCTTTCAAAGATATTTATCCCTCTAATTATTTAATAGTGAGCTGTTGAATTAAACCTTTTGATAACTCTTTGATCAATAGATGGATATCAAGGATTTAACATGAATTAACTCCCATTTGCTGGATATGCACATATTGCTGAGAATAGAACAGGGCTGTAAGGGAGCTACAGTTATTGAGTTCATAGCTTTAAGATTTTATTTCTTTTTTTTTTTCTGTGCAGGGTCAGGTGGAAGCTGGCCAGTAGGTACCACAAAAATAATGAAAATAAAGCATCATGAGTGCTGTGAGGGACAAAGTACAGGATCTCCTTCTGGGTTGCTTTTCTCTTCTGTTACTATTTTCTTCCCTGCGTTGCTTGACTGAATTCCACCCAGTCTTCAGGTCTCAGGATAAATGTCACTTTCCAAGAAAAGCTTTTGCCTACATTGGATAGCCCTATCCTAGACTTCATGCAGCCTGTACTTTTATTTCATAGCAGTTGACATGTTGGTATTTATATCATTTATATGGGGTTTTTCGATATCTCTTTTTTTCCCACTAGAGTATAAATTCCACAAGAGCAGGAACCTTGCCTCTCTTGTCATCACATCTGAGTGCTTCATACTGTGTCTGGCAAATAGCAATGGTATTTAGAGGGTGAGCATGTCACATACTCTGTGTTCGACACAGTTTTATGTACAGACATATTTGTTAATCCTCAAAAGTTGTTTGAGGAAAGTACCATAATATTTCCCTTTTTAAAGATTGAGAAACTGAGATAAAGAGATGTAGAGCAACTTCTATAAACTTTCACTGCCAACAGGGGCCAAGTCTAGATTAAACCCAGGCGCTCTTGCTTCAGACTTTGTGTTCTTAACCACTTTTTTTTTTTTTACTGCATTTATAGATAACCCTTTGTCAAATAAGTCAAAGAATAAATTAATGAGCTAGACAAACTAATACCAAAGTGCCTAACCTACTTTAGCAGTCTTACATGTCTTTTGAAGATATAAAGATTAAATGAAAACTGAAAGATGAGTAGGAGGACTGAAATTTAGCCCTAGCATTTGGGCAAAAAAGTGTGGATATGCAGAAAAGTATATTCCAGGTAAGGTAAGCTTCATAGATGAAAGTTTGGAGATGTACGAGTATAGATACTTCTAGAAATGAGTAGAATTTCATTTTACCTGGCAGGCATGCTGAGTGTGAGAGGCATCTTGGTAAGGCTGTAGATCTAGGCAGGGCCTAAATGATGGGAGGCTTTATAAATACTTTCTAAAGAAGTTTTATAGGATTTGACGGAAAGGCTTAAAAGACAGGAGTGACCCAATCAGATAGGCGTTTTGAGAATGCTGCTGCCTATATTGTAGAAAAGCATTTTAAGCAAATAAGTCCAGAAACAGAGAGAAAAAGCTGTTTGGTAGTACTTGAAATAAAAGATTTGGTGACCTGTACTACAGTAGTAGCAGTAGGAGTGGAGATAAATATTTGGATGTAATAATATTTAGGATTAAGAGACAAAAGGACTTCATGATTGAATACAGGAGTGTGAGGAAGAAGTTAGTCATCGCAAGTTATTGAAATATGAAGTTGGAGTCAGGAATAGGAAAGAAAGGATCAGACTTTGAGGTGCCAGTGTGGTTTTCCAGTGACCATGATTATTAACAGTTGAGAATGTTTCTCTTGAGCTTAAGAGATATACGTCTAGGCTAGAAATACAAATTTGGGATAGTTTAAGTAGCAACTGAAGCCATGAAAGTCCAAGGCAAAAGAAAATAATTACCAGGACAGATGTCTCAGGACTTGTCAATGTGAACTGTAATGAGTTTGTTGTTTCTTAGCCTCAGGTTTCTATGCTGTAAAATGTCAGTGTGAAGAATGTACTTCACAGGGTTAATATCAGGCTATTATGAAACAACTGTGAAAACCTCTGGAAGTTGTGTACATTCACTAAAGCATAATTCCATCTCTTTGTTTCTACGTAGTTAAAATAACTTTCTTTTTCAAGTAATCTCAAGAGGAAACATAAAACTTGCATCAGCAAGTGAATACTAAATTTCCAAGGATTGTAATGGGAGTTTGTAGGAAAAAGAAAATATCCTCTCTCCTAATTAAATGTCTATTCTGGAGACTGATTTGAATAATAATAAAAATCCAGTCTCCTGTACAGCTAGCTCTGTGTAAATTAATCTTTCTCTATTGCAATTCCCTTGCCTTGATAAGTTGGCTCTGTCTAGGCAGTGGGAAAGGTGAACCCATTGGGCAGTTACAAATTTGGGGGCTCGTCCAGGATTGCCCTTGTGGCTGCATACCCATAGTTTGGTAGCCCCCCGTTCCAGCGATGGATCCAGAGGCTGGCCCAAGTGGCCACCTAGTTCTCTTGGACTGGGGGCTGACTCTGTTACCATCTCTACTGGCAGGACACTGCCGACCGAACATGTATGTATTTATTTGCATTAGAGAAATAATCCGGGGAAGACATCTCTTAACTGTAGCCCTATCACAGGGTATCTGTCTGTAGCCACATAGTGGGGTGTCTATCTGCAGCCCCATTGTGGGGTGTCTGGGTTAGTGAGTATTCTAGGCACTGCCAATGGCTTTTCCTTCTCCAGACTGGTTCAGAAGCCCCATGGTGGGGTATCTATCTGTAGTCTCATGGTGGGATGTCTGTTTATAGCTCCAGCATAGGGTGTCTGTCTTGGTTTGGCTCCTTCAGTGGTCTCAGTTTGTCTGTAGCCCCATTGTGGGACATCCGTCTTGGTTTGGCTCCTGGGGGGTGTCTCAGTTGGCTCTCCCTAACTACTAGGAAAAGTCTTGGTTCAGGAGACTTCTCCTCAATCAGGAAGATTTTGGGGATATTTCTCAGACAGAGAATAGGAGGATAGTTTGGAAGGAATACTCTTGGAGTTCTTGGTTAAGGATCTGATTTGGAAGGCCTTCTGTCTGTTTTGTCTTTGTGTGTTTTTGTGAATGTGGAGGGGATCTCAGAAAGAATTGCTGATGGAAGTCTAGCAGCCCTAACTCAGAGAATCCTCCTTATTGGTCTGGCCACATTCTGTGAGCCCTGAAGAAAGCTCAACAGGCCTGTCTCAGGGTGACCATTTGCTCTTCACCTTGCCCAGAGACTACCCATTGTGAATTACAATTCCGAGGTGATCTCTCCCCACCTGGAGTGGATAGAAGACAACAAGGACCAATGAGAGAAAGTTTGAGCTTTGCCAGGTTACTATTGGGTGCTAAATGAGGTAACTCTGTTTTGTTATGTGTACTTTGCTGGGATGGAAAATGTTAATTCAGTTGCTCATGCAGCCCATTGGGCAGCGTCTTGCAAAATAAGTTTCTTTTGCCTATAGTTCCATAAAACAGAAAAGGGTGATTTTCTTTTATAAAGTGGCTTGACTGTCACAGCTATGGCATTTGTTCTCTGGAAGCTGCAGAAAAAGGGAACCCAGAAACCTGGTATGCCAGTGAAAAGGTTAAGAAATTCTGGTGAAAAGGGTAAGAAATTCTTACCACTGGTGCCTTTCTGGTCTCTCTCTTTCTCTCTCTCTCTCTCTCTCTCACTCTCTCTTTGTGAGTGTAAGGGGTAAATGTCACTATTTGTCTCCTGCAAGAGTTTGATCAATAGAGAAAAGGATTTGTAAGATTAGTCATAGGCCATGACAAATCTGGTGCACTTTTGCTAAGAATTTATCTTTCTTTGTTGTTCTGCAATGGGGAGACAGGTATCACAGGATAGAACAAGAGTTTACAACCCCTAAAAGCCTGCTTTACAAGCTAGTCCAGCAGGCTGGTCAGTTTTAAACTTTACTGTGGGTCCCTGAAACCAATACTAGATAAAATTTCTCTGTCTGGTTTTGTGTCCTTAAGAGCTTAACCTTGTGATCATGTGGGGACACTTTCTCTTGGTCTCCACCATCCACAAGGCAGGAATGTTGGGGTTCATGTATAGTTAGCCCTACAAATTTTCTTGAGCAGTGAAAAGCTTTCCCAAGCTTGAAATTGGCTGCTATACACTTCTTCTGTGAAGGGCAACAGAAACTGCTTGATGCTGTGTAGCTCAGTAGCTAAGACTTTGTGTTTTTGACAATGGCAATCTGGGTTCAATTCTTGGCTTCTGGAATAAATCCTTTCTGATTTGTTATTTGTTAACTTTGCTATTAATCAAATGGTTTTTTGTTTTGTTTCCCCCCATGGATAGCTTTTGATTTCATGTCTTGGATTTTCCTTTCTCTAAACTACCCTCAGGGAGATCCTAAACATTGTAAAAATAATAATAAAATAAAAAATAAACTGCTTACTATCTATTTGAAACATCTTATGCATCCATGGTTAATTTATGACCTTAGTTAAAACTTATTAATTTCATGTGGGAAGTTACTTGTGGTAGAATAAAAAAGCCAGAAATATTGGCTGTATGGGCTAGAATCTGGTAATAAGAGATTTGAACAGTTTTTTTTTTTAAGGAAAAGTAGCTCTATGGTTAAAATATCAGTAATAATTATAATTGTTATGTAAAATTATTGTGTGCCACAGAGGTAACACATTTTCTTGTCAATTGTCTTTAACAGTGACTGTCCTAAGATATTTCATGATCCATAGACAATTGTCTTATTTCAATCCTCTTTTATTGGTGATTTATAATCAGCTATAAAATGACTTGTGCTCTTGAATGCAAGTTTCTGATAACTTTGGAGGTTGTGACATTAGAATAAAGGGAAAAAACTTTCAGGACTCCTATGGAGAGCTGAAATGTTCATGAATATCAAGCAGAACAGGAGTTAACTGAAATGTTCATGAATATCAAGCAGAACAGGAGTTAACTGAATGGAGTGAACTAATAGAAAACTGATGTAATCTTCTTTTTGACTTTTTTTGCTTAAAACATTGCTGATAGTTTCTGTTTTCCAGAGCCAATAAAACTTTTCTTTTGAGCTATCTGCAGCTTTTAACAATTGAGTGAAATATACTCCTGTGAGCAAAATTTGGAGCATGTTTGTTTCTCTCTGCCTGATTTCTCCAGAATTTGGAAACTATTTGTGAGTATTCTCAACTTAAGGCAGTAGAGTTATTTGCAAAAGTGCGATAAGAACCGTTTATCTGGGCTGGGCGTGGTGGCTCATGCCTGTAATCCCAGCACTTTGGGAGGCCAAGGTGGGCAGATCAGGAGGTCAGGAGATCGAGACCATCCTGGCTAACATGGTGAAACCACATCTCTACTAAAAATACAGAAAAGTTAGCCAGGCATGGTGGCACATGCCTGTAGTCCCAGCTACTTGGGAGGCTGAGGCAGGAGAATCGCTTCAACCCAGGAGGCAAAGGTTGCAGTGAGCCAAGATCGCACCACTGCACTCCAACCTAGGTGACAGAGTGAGACTCCATCTCAAAAAAAAAAAAAGAAAAAAAGAACCTGTTTTCTTTTGTAACAGGACACAATTGGGGAAACTGGTTATTTTACCAAGGATTTGAATGACTTGATTTCCTTTAAGGAATCAAACTTGACTTTTATAGCCAATAAAAGCCCCTTGGGAAAACTGGCCTCATACCTTGCATACATAGTCCCTGTATAGGGTTCCTGATTTATGGTAAGTAAAGAATGTCACTTTCTAATAGGCCCAGTAGTCCTAAGTTATCTTTGGGCCTCAAAAGGAAAGAAATTTACCCAACTCATAGGCATTTGGGGGTACAAACCCATGGTTTGGCTCAGCTTTAAAAAAGTCTTATCTCAGATTCCTTATGAAACAGAGTTCCATCAAAGACAATTTAAAAAGCGCATGTGAAAAATAATTATTCTTGCTATGCTTTATCAAATAATCAGGCTGAATAGAGTAAGACTAAAGTTTATTTGGTAAACAAGTCAGTTCTATCATGATTTGTTTTTGATAAAAATGGGGACTGGAGAGAGAAAAATTATGCTTCAAAAGAAAAATTATAGTACACCTGTTGTTAGCTGTTCTTGAGTGTTCTTGAGTTTTTCTGCAGTTTGAACTAAATCCTAAATTCTTTGTGTGCTGCAAGTCCCCAAGCTAATGCTTTCAGATCTTTACTTTTAAAACTGGGAATTGCACTGTTTATCCTAGTAGTCAGTATTTACCTTATAGCATGCTATTTCCTTAAATATGGTACTAAAATTTTAGATGATAATATTAACACCTTTGCCATGGAAGCCTTGGAACCCCAGCCAGGCCTGCATAAGTATGCTTAGACAGTTGCAAAGCAGTTCAACTCCTCTCACCTTGGGGTCAACACCTATCCCCAATACACCTTTGGTCAGCAGGAAGAAGTGAGAGTAGGCTTAACCCTTTTTCCATCTTCTTTAGCCAACACCTTAAGATTAAGGTGTTATAAAACCCAAAGGGAGGGATTGAAACTGCCATTGCGAAATTGTAACTGAGACAGTGAAAGAGATCTTACCTAACCAACTCTGTCTTGCTTCTAACCTTCAAGCTGCCCTTGTTCATTCCTGGGTGTAGGCTGAAAACTTTGGGAGGAACTTAGTTTATAGTTTAAAACAAAGATGATAACAGCCCTTTCCGAAAACAAATCTCCTTCTTGCTGGAGGACGAGACTGCCTTTGTAGGTCTAATACATTAGCCACAAGATTAGAAATTATGGTTTGGGAGTCATGCAGCTGGAGGCTGCAAGATTCTGACCCTCCTTAAACAG
This sequence comes from Homo sapiens, assembly GCF_000001405.40. Lineage (NCBI taxonomy): Eukaryota > Metazoa > Chordata > Mammalia > Primates > Hominidae > Homo > Homo sapiens. The sequence continues at coordinate 104,494,734 of NC_000011.10, forward strand.
CTCCTAAGATCAGTGCTTGAGATATTTTGCAGACCCTGCACTTGATGGATCAGCTGGCACCACCCAGATGAATAAACTGGCTTATCTGATCTCGTGGCCCCAACCCAGGAACTGACCCAGTGCAAGAAGACAGCTTTGACTCCCTATGGTTTCATCTCTGAACTAACCAATCAGCACTCTTGACTCATTCGTCTTCCCCCACCTACCAAATTATCCTTAAGAACTCAGATCCCCAAGTGCTGGAGGAGACTGATTTCAGTAATAGTAAAACTCCAGTCTCCCACAAAGTAAATAAATAAATAAGTAAATAAATAAACATTCCTATTCAAACCATAGAAAAAAGAGACTAAAATTTAAAAACATCAAAAACAAGAAGTACTATAAACTCATTTAGGTTTATAACTCACTCTCAGATTTCTTTTTGATTTGTTTTGCTTTGCTTTTATACCTAAGATAGATTTATTTTTCTGGATTGGCAAAGATGTAGGAATCATAGTCCAGATAGAGTAAGATTAAAGTACAGTAGTTGTGCAGTAACAGAAAGGAAAGCATCTCTCCTGATTACAAGGATTGAGAGAGAGTACAATAAACTCTTTAAGAGGTTTTTCTAAGGCATAAAAGAAAAGGGTATTTTTTTATTAAGTTCCTCAATATAATATTTTTAAGTCAACTATTGAATATAAGGCTAGACAGTCTCAAAGATGCAATTATCCCAAATTCAGAGCCAAGGTATTTAACAAGGCATATGTATTTATAAGGATTGATTGAGGTATTTGATCAGATAAATATATTAAATTTTCTCCCCACAAGATTTGGGAGGAAAAAGTCAACACAGTTACTTCATTAATAAGTTTTCTACACACACACACACACACACACACACACACACAAACACCACATTGCTGCTTCCTAATTCATTCTAAAGATTTGCATTATGCTAGTTTAAACCCAAGAGTAGTATCAGTAGCTAAAATGAAATTATTAGGGGCATTGTGGCTATAATTCATATGTTTCTGGTTTAGTGAATTTTCATCATTCTAAAATGTCTGACCATAATAGAAAATGATTGCATAATTTTTCTTTAAAAATGTCTCTTCAGTTCATTGGACACATATAGCTTCATCCTTTCATACCCATTTGAAAGTAGTTCAGAAAAAGTCACAAAGAAATTTACACCAATTTGGAAAATGTCAAGTACATTTAATATTATGTTTGACAGCTGATAAGCATATTTCTTCATGCAATTTCTTTATTTTCTTTCTTCAGATATGAAGGCTTTTCCTCACATTAATATGTAGACTAGGCATCCATTAAATAGACCAGGCTTGTGACTTCTTTGTAATAAACATATATCTTGGATTCTAAATTCTCTGTTCCCTTTGAGTCACCTGATGATTCTTTCTTGTCATATCTTTTTCATGGCCCATCCCAAAACTTCTCTGGCTGTTCCTGCCTTAGGAGCGTCAGGGATCTTAATAGCATATCTCAAATGATTGTGTATTGGTCCCTTTACCCAATCTCTACCCCTCCTTTCTACTAGATTGTTCTAGAGATCAGTACTCCTGTCTCTAAGCAGCTCACAATCTAAGAAAAACAAAAATACAGCTATCATAGAATATAGATAGTTGTATTTATGAATATGTTCAGAGAATATAGAATATAACTTAGTGACTTTTTAAAAAGTGCTTTGGTATCCGGATGAAAAATTGTTTGACTGCATCAAGGACATGGGAATGTCTGCATATTGTGGATGTCATTGTAGCTGGGCCTTGAGTTATGAGACGAGTGTGTTAGAAAAGGCAATTCACACAGCAGCTGAAGCAAAATTTTCCAAACAAGAAAAAGCACAGACTCGGCATAGAGTGAGAAGTATTTCACTGATTGTAGACTTTATCACATAGAATGTAAGGGGAGGGGAGCTACAGCAAGTAATCGGTGCTGGAAAGGGAGGAAGAGGCCAGGCTGGAAGAGAAATTGAATGAATAATGAGGAGTTTTGGGGAAACCTAGGAATGCTTTTCAGAAATGATGAGAGTTTACTTGTACAAATATATGTTATTGAAGATTACAATTGGTAGCAGAAATCAGATTGCAAGTGTTTAAGTCAGGTGTTCTCAAACTTCAGGACATTTAAGAGTTATGTGGTAAACCTACTAAAACAAAGCTGCTGGATTCTCAATCACCTTGCGATGAGTGGAGCCCAGGGGATCTGCATTTTTAATAAACAGGCACCCCAGGAGATTAAATAAGCACCTCAGGTGATTCCTCTCGAGGTCACATAATCACCACACTTTGAGAAATGGTGTATTAAGGCATTTTTTAGAAAGTAAGTAGAGGCAGCAATAATACAATATAATTTTTATTCAATAAGTTGGGGATGAGGAAAACAAAAAATAGTTAAAAAATGGGCTCTGGAGTCAAACTGAAGATTTTCATTTTGGCTCCACCACTCATTTCTGTGGGACTTCAGAAAAATCATTCTGTGCTTGTCTTTCCACATGTAAAATGAGAGTAATCATAGCATCTCTCTGGCTCATAGAATGTTATAAGGCATATATGATGGCCTTATAAATTGCACTTTTTTCAAATATGCAAAGTCTCTACCCAGAAGATAAAGAAGAGATGTGTATACAAAAATTCAGTCTTGAATCTGGATCTCAGAGTTGGAAGAATAGATAGAATGAAAGACACAGGTGAGGCACACCTTGCTAAGAAAGAGACATGGTTCCTTTCCAGAAGCTGGGGCAAAGAGAGAAATAATTAGAGTTAAAAATGTATCCCCATTGTCCACCTGTGTACTGAAGTCTTGGAAACAAATGCACAAGTTTTCAATAGAATTACTCCCAGCTTTCTCTGTAATGATAAAAAGATAATAATTTGCCTGAGCAGTTTTGAGTTTGTCCTCTATCATTACCATAAGTCCCTCAATTTCAGCAGATGTCTTCTCATTTTTTATTGAGGTCAAGGCCTATATGAATTTTATGTACACTTTCTCTACTTTTATACATTCAGTTACAGTATCTGTGGTTTTATGGATCCTCTCTTCCCTTATTTCTGACATGACGGGAATCATCTCTCTTTTAAACTAAGTCCAATCCCTTTGCTTGGCCTTGAGTGACTCCCTTTCCATCTCCTCTGAAACACCTTGATCCATCAAGTTCCACTTCCTTCCATTTTTTATCTCTTTCTACTTTGTTCTCTTTCTCATACATTTGCTTACATCTCTGCAAACCTTCAAATAAAAAACAATACCTTTAGGCTGGGCACAGTGGCTCACACCTGTAATCCCAGCACTTTGGGAGGCCAAGGCGGGTAGATCACGAGGTCAGGAGATCGAGACCATCCTGGCTAACACAGTGAAACCTCATCTCTACTAAAAGTACAAATATTAGCAGGGTATGGTGGTGCGCGCCTGTAGTCCCAGCTACTTGGGAGGCTGAGGCAGGAGAATCATTTGAACCCAGGAGACGGAGGTTGCAGTGAGCTGAGATCATGCCACTGCACTCCAGCCTGGGCAACAGAAGAAGACACAGTCTCAAACAAAGAAACAAACAAAACTTTTATCTTAATTTTTATGTTTCTATATTCATTTTTCTCTTTTGACCACAAGTATCTTGATAATAACTCTACTTCTGATGGTAACTGATTATTTATCAATTATCCAATCCAAATGCCTTTAATAAATCTTCTCTATCCCTTTCCTTCTCCTTTTCTGGTTTTTCTATGCAACTTGACATTCTTTGCCTCATTTGTTTTGTCAAAACTCTCTCATCCTTTGGCTTTTATGTTCTTCCACGTATTCCTTTCTTGTGTTTTCTTTCTCTTCATAGTTTATTTAAGGATTGAACGTAAGCATTCCCTAAACTCTTTGCTTTTGCTCTTTTCCTACTTTTATTTCTTCTTTTCTGTGATCTCACCCACTTATGTGATTGCAAGTATCACCTTCATTCCAGTAGCTTTCAGATCTAGACTTATATTGACTATCTCCATTATAATATCATGCAGGCATCTCAAACTTACCCTATATAAATGCCAACATCATCTTAAACTTCATATTTCACTCCAGAGTCCATACTGAGCTCTTTTTTCTGATGGCTGTTTCTATAGGAATGTTGCTATAGTTCTTCAAGTTACCTGGGTTTAAAATACAGATGTCACCTCAATAAATGCAGTAAAGGCCTTTGATAAAATGCAACATCCAGTTATGTCAAAAACTCTCAATAAATTAGGTATTGGTGGAACATGTCTCAAAATAATAAGAGCTATTTATGAAAAACCCAAAGACAATATCATGTTGAAAGGGCCAAAGCTGGAAGCATTCCCTTTGAAAACTGGTACAAGACAAGGATGCCCTCTCTCACCAATCCTATTCAACACATTATTGGAAGTTCTGGCCAGGGCAATCAGGCAAGAGAAAGAAATAAATCGTATTCAAATAGGAAGAGAGGAAATCAAGTTGTCTCTGTTTGAAGATGACATGATTTTATATTTAGAAAACCACATCATCTCAGCCCCAAAACTTCTGGAAGTGATAGGCAAATTCAGCAAAGTCTCAGAATACAATATCAATATGCAAAAATCACAAGCATTCCTTTACATCAACAACAGGCAAGCAGAGAGCCAAATCATGAATGAATTCCCATTCACAATCATTACAAAGAGAATAAAATACCTAGGAATACAGCTAACAAGTGATGTGAAGGACCTCTTCAAGGATAACTACAAACAACTGCTCAAGAAAATAAGAGAGAACACAAACAAATGGAAAAACATTCCATCTTCATGGATAGGAAGAATCAATATCATGAAAATTGATATACTGCCTAAACTAATTTATAGATTCAATGCTATTCCCATCAAACTATCATTGACATTCTTCACAGAGTTACAAAAAACTATTTTAAATTGCATATGGAATCAAAGAAGACCCCATATAGAGAAGAGCATCTTAAACAAAAAGAACAAAGCTGGAGGCATCACGCTACCTGACTTCAAAATGTACTACAAGGCTACAGTAACCAAAATAGCATGGTACTGGTACCAATACAGACATATAGACCAATGGAGCAGAACAGAGACCTCAGAAATAACACCACACATCTACAACCATCTGATCTTCGACAAACCTGACAAAAATAAGCAATGGGGAAAGGATCTCCTATTCAGTAAATGGTGCTGGGAAAACTGGCTAGCCATATGCGGAAAATGGAAGCTGGTCCCCTTCCTTACACTTTATACAAAAATTAACTCAAGATGGATTAAAGACTTAAATGTAAAACCCAAAACCATAAAAACCCTGGAAGAACACCTAGGCAATACCATTCAGGACATAGGCATGTGCAAAGACTTCATGACAAAAATGCCCAAATCAATTGAAACAAAAGCCAAAATTGACAAATGGGATCTAGTTAAACTAAAGAGCTTCTGCACAGCAAAAGAAACTACCATCAGAGTGAACAGGCAACATACAGAATGGGAGAAAAGCTTTGCAGACTACCCATCTGACAAAGGTCTAATATCCAGAATTTACAAGAAACTTAAACATAAAACAAGAAAAAACAACCCCATCAAAAAGTGGTCAAAGGATATGAACAGACACTTCTCAAAAGAAGACATTTACATGGCCAGTAAACATATGAAAAAAAGCTCAACATCACTGATCATCAGAGAAATGCAAATCAAAACTGCAATTAGATACCATCTCACACCAGTCAGAATGGTGATTGTTAAAAAGTCAGGAAACAATAGATGCTGGCGAGGCTGTGGAGAAATAGGAATGCTTTTACACTGTTGGTGGGAATGTAAATTAGTTCAACCATTAAGCAAGACAGTATGGTGATTCCTCAAGGATCTAGAACCAGAAATGCCATTTGACCCAGCAAACCCATTACTAGGTATATACCCAAGGAATATAAGTAATTCTACTATAAAGATACATGCACATGTATGTTTATGGCAGCACTATTTACAATTGCAAGACTTGGAACCAACCCAAATGCCCATCAGTGATAGACTGGATAAAGAAAATGTGGTACATATGCACCATGGAATACTATGCAGCCAGGAAAAGAAATGAGATCATGTCCTTTGCAGGGACATGGATGAAGCTGGAAGCTATCATCCTCAGCAAACTAACACAGAAACAGAAAACCAAACACCGCATGTTCGCATTCATAAATGGGAGTTGAACATTGAGAACACATGGACACAGAGAGGGGAACAACACACACCAAGGCCTGCTGGGGAGTGAGGGTTGGGAGAGGGAAATTAGAGGATGGATCAATAGGTGCAGCAAACCATCATGGCACACGTATACCTATGTAACAAACCTGCATGTTCCCCCCTCTTTTTTTTAGAAGAAATAAAAAAAATAGAGATGTCACTTTGCCCTCTCCTAGTAATTCAATAATCATTTCCAAAATATTTTCAACACTTTCAAATTTTATGTTGATAAAATCTTTCATTTTCTTTCCTTTAAATGTCATGGCTACTACCCCATTTCATACTCTACGAACTACTGCATAAAGTCAAGTAAGTTGTGCATCGCACACTTTCAAGGGTTCCATTCACATAGAATAGGATTTGAATAGTGTTCCTTAATGTTTTGTACTGCAAAACCTGCAGAAATGCATGCAGCTTCCTTGTAAGACCTTACCACCTGAACCACTGATGCAGGCTCATACACCACTCTTTGAACTTGTAATCTTCTATTTGAACTAAACCACACTGCCAACGATCTGTCTTAAAGTTTAGTCCCAATCATACCTTTGTTCTACTTGAAAGTCTTCAATGTCTTTACCGTATCTGAAGGCATCAACTTCTTAATGTTGTAATAAAGGACTTTGTCTAAATGCCCCTAACTTCCATTCAAACAACCAAAAATGGATCTTGTGCGCTTCTGAAGCACAATTACCTTTTGGAATATCGGCATTAATTGAATAAGGACAGTTTGCTATTTGAGATACAAGCTGGTTGCTATTTCACATACAAATTGGAGCTAATTTAAATACAAAGGGACTATTTCAGCTATCTAAGGAAGAGTAAAAAGAAACACATCACAAAATAAAAAGTGAAACAAATCTCATAAAGTTTGGGAACCAATTAACCTCTTCTGCATTCCAGTACCTAGGATTCAGGAGGTTTACCTCTAGCTGTTTTCTCTGGACTCAGCTCCCAGCAGCTCTCAGTATCCATGCATCTCAGTTGAAAATACAAAATCTGAAGAGCCTGAATGGTCTAGCTTACATCAACCTCCACCTCAGCTATGGGGAGTGGGCCAGAGCACCAAAGTGCACAGATAGGGACTCACCCATGTGCTTTGGGGTAGTTCCTGCAGGAGCAATAATTAAAGGTTTTATTAATACTAATTCTTCCATGAGGCATCTCTCCTTCATTGAATCAGTGACTGTTATAATCCATTCTAGGGCCATCTTACAGTGATTTCCTTTATTGAAACACCCCTTGATCATCTTAAGAAAGTGTGACCCTGTTTCCTCTGAATTCCATAGAAGATGTATGTATTTTGTCAAACATTATATTTATTTATTTTTATATATCATATCTGTGTTGACAGTGCACAGCCCCACCAACTCATTAACTCTTTCAGGTAAGTTTTATTGTCTCACTTGTCTTTGTATATCATCCCATTCATTTAGCATGTACAGCAATATCTACCTTAGAGTCAGTTCTCAGTAAATAATTGTTAGAGTGAAATGAATTTAAAGTAAGATATCTTAAGTTGTTGTATCCTAAGTCTCTTCAAATTACAGAAGAAGAAATCCAACCTGGTTTTGAAGATCATTCTCTTCCACTCTACTCTGCACTCTTCTTCCTTCCCTGACTGTCCCCCAACTCCAAACACCTTTTATAAAGTTCCGTGATGCTGCCTCAGAAAATATTCTAGAGACAAACAGTATCTCCATCAGGCATCCCTTAACTTGTCAGTCTGGATTTTCTTCTTAAGTACATTCCCCCAACACTTTCAACCAAATGTAATTCAGAGTACGTTCCATCTAAATTATTGATGCCTAGATTCTGAGATGTAACATTTTGAATTAAAACCAGCCACTTAATTACACTGCTTGATGCCTGATTATCCAAGACACTGATTTGTATTTCTGTGGGAGTGATCATTTTTGGAAGCCTGAGGTGCAATATTTCTATCTGCTGTCTCTGTCTTATGGGTAGATTTACATATTGGACTAAATGCAGTTCTCATTTTGATGAGATTTAAATTAATTATACCTACTAAAGGCTTATTTCAAAATGCCCAGTTGCATGGTCTGCTGGAAGAATTGTCACTAAGTTTTCTAAGTTCAACTTAGGTGACAAAAAAAAAAAAAAACAAAGAATGAAACCTGAGTGTTTTTAAAACACAAATTTTTTGTTGTAACCCAATAAAATTTGCCACAGAATGAGACATGTATAGTTAATTAAATGCATTACTGAGATTGGACTGCATGATAATTGCATAAAAAGAGTAAGCATTTCATGTTAGTTATTATAAATAATATAATTTTCCAAACTAAATGTATTTGAGATTGGCTTAAAGCAAAGAAACAATTTAAGTCACACTAAGAATAGTTGTGGTTATCACCACATTGTTGTGTTCCTAATTTAAATACAGGACAAAATGCCAAGGAAAAAAGGGGATGATATGTCCCACAAAACAGCTTGTAATATGTCAGTCCTCATGTTAAAGAGCTTTGGAAATGGATCTGGTAGCAGAATTGAGCTGCCAAGACATAGCTTTTAACTGTTTTACTCTTGTGGCAAAAAATGCCCAGTAAATTATTGCTATGTATTAGTGTTGCCATTAAGTTGTTGTTAAAATGCACATGTATGTGCTGAATTAGCATCAAGTGCTCTGGCAAGTAGTGCATTCTCTATACGTAGTAGATTTTTTTCATTAAGTGTTTTGACATTAAATGAATGCCATCTGTAAACATCATGGAAACCTGGAGTTACTATGGAAACAGATGATGGGGGAGACCTCAGGGGAGAACCCCCACAAATACTAGCTGTGAGATTTTCTTCCTTAGTTCTCTCCTGATTTACCCAGCTTCTTGGGATTAGTTTGTCATTAATGTCCTGACAGTGAAATTTCCAAAGTGCTTTGAAGGGCTTATTTTTCTATCACTACCCCAGCTATTTAAAATCGAGTAAACACCATCAGGCTCCATTCACTTACGCAAGGACTCATGATTCTAATTGCCATTCCCTAAGTATTATATATTGTTTGCACAAAATAGCATTGCTTTGCCTTCAGATAATCAGTTCAATGACAGCTGCAATGAGTACTCCTCCTACTATTCAGCATCAGGTGCATCCTCATAGCTTTCCTGTCTTCCTTTTGTGAGTGATAATTATCTCAGTCTTTTGATCTTAATATTTATGCTGAAACATCTGTATTCCATACACTATGATGGCAGAAGGCACCTGGATTTCTTCTGTTAGGCTTATATTGCTGGCTTTCTTCTGCTTTACTACCTTTTCCTCTTCAATATAACAACTAAAGGAATAAGGCCATTAGCCGTCTTCTTTGTACATTTTAGGGCAGTGCTGGTGAGGTAATAGATGAACTTCAGCATTTCAGTGGCTTGATAAAATAGACATTTATTTCTCACTCATGTAAAGTTCAAAGTGAGAGATCCTGATTGGTAGAGGCTCTCATCCAAGCAATGATGCAGAAATCCAAGTTTTTCCATTTTGTGACTCTGTTAACTTCAATATGTGGCTTCCAAGATTGCAGCAGTTTTCTGTATTTCAGTCAGCCAAAAGAGAAAGAGATGTGAAGAAGCATGTATGGGAGATTTTCATGAGCCACCCTACAAGTGAGACACATTGACTCTGCTTGCCTTCTATTCACTAAAATTTGGTCACATGACTCCGTTTACCTATAAGGGAGAGTGGAAATTAGTAGTCCCCCTATGTACCCCAAAATAAGAGGAAGAAAGTTTGATGAACAGCTAATCAGTCTTACTTTACTATGTGAAAGTTGCATTAAGGCATTTAGTTGATTAAGGGTATATTTTAGTAAATTAGTCTTTTGGTTCACTTAATACAGCTTTTACTGTGCTGGTTAATGACTGCAAATAGTTCGGAATATATTGGATCTTCAAGCTGTACTAAAATTGAGAGGAGAAGTAAAGCATGAACCCCACAACAATTTAGGAGAGAGCACATAGAGGAGTAACGAGGGAGGAAGGCACTGACAGCAGGATCAGTGAATGGTCAATGCCATTTTGTAAAAGGCCGATGGGGATGAAGCCCTTAGGGATGGCTTTGGTTGCCAAATGGCAGAAATAGTGTCTCTGTCATGAGTCTTTTGTTTGTGAGTACAGGGTTCTCTATGATCTAGGCAAAGCGAAATGTACTGACAGAATATAGATATAGCTCATTGAATTATTCTTTTATTTTTATTCTCTTTCTTCTTACTCTCTACACCTAAACTAACTTTGCTTTTCAGTGTATATGGTATCAGATTGCTGCCCTAGCAGTAAAACTACTGTAGGACATCCAAATTAGTGAGTAAAATTTCAGTCTTTACTGCCAATTGATTGGCCAAATATAGCTAAATATCTTGGTTCAATCCATAGTAGCCAGGAGGTCAGAATCAGTTTATTCCTTCACTCATTCAAGTTGTACTGAGCACATTCTATGCCCTAGACACTATTGTATAAATTTAACATAAACGTGGTTTTAGGGCCCAGGTGTGTGTGTATGTGTCTATTAATAAAAGGGGGATATTGGTTGAGCAGACACACCAAGGGTTAAAACTTACAGTTTGATTGTCCAATACTTACGGTGTATATATGTGTATGTGTTTTTAATTTTGCAGGCCAATGTTTAAAAATATGAAAAAATAGCATCTATATTTTAAAAATCAATTAAAAAATAATTTTCCTGTGTCTCTAGGCATAAAATGGACAAATAGGAATAGAGGATGAACTTAAGGATGAAAGCTTATTAAACAAATTTGACAAAAGATAATGTCTTACATTTCTTTTAAATTAATGTAGTTATGGGCATTTCTTTTGTGATTTCATGTTACTGAAAAAGGATTTGTTTTATGACATGCCATCAGCTGTTACCAGTCAAAAGCTGTGATATAAAATGGAAAAAAACTCACACATGTACATGTGTAAATATATATGTATGTGTAGATGTATAGATACATAATATGTGTGTATATATATATATGCGTGGATGAATGTATGTGTGTGTGTGTATAAATAATTGTGGAAAAGTTTGAGAATCTTTATCCAGGTATGATCCTAAATCAGGATAGAAATGGGAATGCCCTTTGCAATAAAAAAAATAGTGCAGTATTTCTGGACAGGACATGAATTATTTTATAAAGCGTATAAGTTTATTGTTTCTATAATAAGTAGTATGAAAATTAAGACTAGGTATGTCTTCTTTACTAAAGCCTGCAAATGACAGATAGAGAATAAGATAGTACCAGGAGTGTGGACTCTGCAAACCAACTGTGGAACATGACCCTGACATCTTTGTAGTTAGAAAACCAGTCTGCTTGAAATTATGTTTCAATCATTAGCTTCTTTATTCTTATTAAAGCATTTCCTTCATATATATGTGTGTATGTCTGTGTGTGTATATCTATTATGTGTGTGTGTGTGTGTGTGTGTATTTTCCCCTAGAAGGTTGTCTTGAACCATCAACTAAAACATATATATTTTATTTAGTTAAATATATATATGATATACATATGTAACTGAAATATACATACATATTTAAATAAATATATTTATATTTTTATATGTGTATATATGTTTATTATATATAACTAAAACAATATCTACATTATATATACATAATATATACATATATACAAATATACATATGTTATGATATACATATATAACTAAAATACAATATATACATCACATATACTTAAATATATAAACATATTTAGTTAAATATATACATTCATTAAATATATATTGTGTATATATATTATGTTTTAGTTATATATGTATGTCATATATATGTATATCATGTATATATTTCCCCCCAGAGGCTTGGATTGAACCAGTAACTAAAACAAATGGAGCAGCAAGCTGAGTTTATGAGAGCATGGGACTATTGTGTCCATCACAATGGGTCAGGTTCTGGCTTGTGGCCTCACAAATGTCAGAGTCACAGTGGTCAGGAGAGAAGCTTTGACAATTCAGTAAACCTACCATGATGATTAGAAAATAACCGTAGTAACAATAGCATCCATTTGGGCACACATGATGGATCAGACAGTGTAATAGAAACAGTTGACATATTTATTAAATGTAATCCCAATGTTAGCACTTAAAAATAACTATTTTTAATTTCATTTTGCATATGGTAAAACTAAATAACAGAGAAGTAAAAAATAATGCCTAAAACATTGCCTTAAATATATCTAAGCCTGAGCTGTCTAATATGGTAGCCATTAGCCACATGTGACTATTTTTTTCAGTGGGGATGGTGGATTATTTATTTATGGTAAAAACTCTTATCCTGAAATTACCCTTTTAATGAATCTTCAAGGGCACAATACAGTACTTTTGACTATAGGTACTATGCTGTGTAGAAGATCTCTGAAACTAATTCATCTTTTTTTTTTTTTTTTTTTGAGACGGAGTCGCGCTCTGTTGCCCAGGCTGGAGTGCAGTGGCACGATCTCTGCTCACTGCAAGCTCCGCCTCCCGGGTTCATGCTATTCTCCTGCCTCAGCCTCCCGAGTAGCTGGGACTACAGGCGCCCGCTACCACACCCGGCTAATTCTTTCGTAGTTTTATTAGAGACGGTGTTTCACCATGTTAGCCAGGATGGTCTCGATCTCCTGACCTTGTGATCCGCCCGTCTCGGCCTCCCAAAGTGCTGGGATTACAGGCTTGAGCCACCGCACCCGGCCACTAATTCATCTTTTATAAGTGAAACTTTACACCAATTGAACAACAATTTGTCCACTTGTGACTATAAAAAATAAAAATTAATTACAATTAAATAAAGGTAAAAGTTTTGACCCTCAGTCATACCATTTACATTTCCAGTGCTTAATGGTCACATGTGGCTAGTGGCTGTCATGTTGATCAACACAGATATAGAACATTTCTATCATTTCAGAAAATTCAACTCTGTGCTGAAATTGTCAATTATAGAAAAGCCTAGGCTCAAACCCATGTTGTCACAAGGGCTGTGCCCTTTTTCAGTAATACACGAATAATACTTATATTGATTCAATTTAGGTATTTTACTTATTTACTTATTTATTTATTTTCTCTTTTAAGAGACAGGGTCTCACTCTGTTGCCTAGGCTGCAGTGCAGTGGTGATGCCTCACGTTAGCTTTGGCCTTATAAGCTCAAGGGATCCTCCTGCCTCAGCCTCCCAAGTAGCTGGGACTAACAGGCATGTGCCAACACAGCCAGCTAATTTTTTAAAATTATTTTGTAGAAACAGGGTTTTGCTATGTTGCCCAGGCTGGTCTCAAACTCCTGAGCTTGAACAATCCTGTTGCTTCTGCCTCCCACAATGTTAGGATTACAGGTGTGAGCCACCGTGCCTGGCCTCAGTTTCGAAAGTTTAATTCCCAAAGTATTGGTCTATTTAATCATCATGTTCTATTGCTTTAGAAACTAAAAAACATAAAAATAGATTTAATTATTTTAGTGTTTATTTGATCATGAATCATTTCTAATTATGAAGTTATTAGTTTTTCCTATATTCATCGTTAAAGGGTTAATTAGACTGTAATTTACCTACAAAACACTTATGACCAAAATATTCACAGAGTGCTTATCAAAATCATTCCTGCATTCTTCAAATATTTATGTGCAGACTTTTCTATGTCTTGAGGGTATAGTGCTGCCCCAAACAGACAAAAACCCCTGCCTTTAAGAACTTTCATTCTACTGAGGAGACAGACAAGTGTATTTTACATATATATATATATATATATATATATATATATATATATATCATATTAGAAATTGATATAATAACATTTATTTAGAAATAAAAGAAAGAGGTATAGTGAAGGTTGCAATTTCAAATATGTGTTAGATATTACAGAGAGGATGACATCCGAGTATTGATGTAATATAGCTGATGAGAATTTGGGGGAGGAATGGTCATGTCTTGCAGACAAGGATAAAGACTCTGAGGTGAGGTGTAAGTGTGCCCAGTGAGTTGTAGGATGTCAAGAGAGGCTGGAGCCTTGGATAAGAAGCGAAGAGGAGTAAAAAATAAAGTTGGCAAATAAGTAGGGGAGGAGTGAAATTTGGGCAAATATCTTGGGTGATGTGGGTTGTTTAAAATATTTGTCTTTTACTCTAAGAGATGAGGAGGCAGAGGTATCAGAAGGAGATCATTGCAGAGATGGAAAGTAATACGAAACAAGCATTTTATTAAAAGTACATATTTTTGACAAATACCTAGAGTCCTCATAAGTGAATCATATAGTCTTCATATGGCCATATACCTTTATTTAGATTTAACAACTCTTCTTTAGACATCCATTATATTTAAAACAACCTATTACAATTATACTCAAATCAACAAGCACTAGTTAAGAGCACTAGTAATCCTCATTTGGCAGATAGCCTTGTATGTACTTCTAAAACAGATTTTATCAAATGCTTCCCAAAAACTTTAATCAGTTGGAAGATGATTCAGCCCTTTTCCCTTGGTTTTGCTTCTTTTGCCTATCTGATTAGTACAGATAGTGCCAGACTTATAATTTTTTGACTTTGGTGCAAAAGTGATATGCATTTAGTAGAAACTGTATTTGAATACACATAAATCCATTCAATTTTCACTTTCAGTATATAGCATTTAGTAAGTTACATGAGCTGTTCAACACTTTATTGTAAAATTGGCTTTTTTTTGGATGATCTTCCCAAGGATAGGGTAATGTAAATGTTCTGAGCACATATAAGGTAGGCTAGGCTAAGCTATGATACTCAGTGGGTTAGGCATATTAGATGCATTTTTACCTAATGGTATTTTCAACTTAACACAGATTTATTGGGACGTAACACCATTGTAAGTCAAGGAGCATCTGTATTTGATTTAAGCCATAAACTAATGGATTTATTTATTTATTGTCTTACATTCTTATTCGTTTAACCAAACGCTTACTGCGTTACTATGTCAGCTCCCTCAGAAAAAAGTCATTCAGATGCACTTGCTTACTCCAAAAGTTTTCAATCTAATGATAAAAAATAAACAAACATGTAGAAACAAATAGTACTTAACAAAATTATTTACAATCTGTTGGAAATATCTGTGAATGCCAAGCATGGTACTCGATGGTTCCACATATTATCTCAGGTAATTCAACTAGAGATAATGATTTTATTCACATTCTTGTTCTTTAAGAAATAAAAATAGAGTAATTGTAAGTTCTGAGAGGTATTTCTTGATTTACTGTTTTTCTGTGTTCAAGCAAAAGTAATTTTTCCATGCAACTAAAAGACCCATACATTATCCTACTACTAATACTTAAGAATAGAGAAGAGGCAGTATCCTTTAAAACCATAGTTCTGCCTCCAGGCAAGCATCTGCAGGTGTTTTTCTGAAGGAAAGTTACTGAAATCACTGCACGCCAGGGCGGTATGCCCAGTTATGCAAATTAACCTCCAATAACCTTGCAGATATATTTTGGTATTTTGGCTTTTGAAGCCTTTGCAGTTTATGTGACACTGCATCTATTCTCCAGATATAGAATTGTGTTCTTGAGTCTTTTTTTTCCTGTTCATACATTTAGTTCAACACATACTGTCTTTTATTGCTCCTTCTGGTATTCTGTTAGAGGAAATCATATACACATATGAAATCTACAGGCATTCTACTTAAACAAGTAGCAGCTAAATATTCTGTATGCCAGTATGGACTTTGTACTACTTGGAATATTTGGTTTGTTTAATAATGCATCTGGAGATTACCAGCTCTAGACCATTTCAAAATAGCTGTAACACTGGATTTACTCACAACCTTCAGGACAGATGAGTTTCTGAAGTCCTTTAACTGATTGTTAAGTTGTTTATCTGCTTCTCATACAGGGTATAAGGGTATTAACAAGAAATGAGAATAATAGGGCACGTCACCTAAACTCAGCTGACTTACAAACTAATTTATCTAAACTAGTTATCTAAAAACATTTTTTTGATGTGAATATGGTAACTGATTTTTTTAATGATTAATTCACTTAAAATTTGATCTAATTTTGAGTGGGTCATATTTTGTATCCACTTTTACATATGAATAATTACATGAATTCAATAATTTAAAATTTTTTTTTCCTCAAAGGTCTTCCGATTTATGTGTTTCAAACTATATTTTATATAATTGCAGTGCTATATGAACACTAGGGTTTACCAGTATTCTTGTGGAAATAGACTCCCTATAACATCTTGAGACCTTTCGATTGAAACATAGCTTTAAAGAAGGGTCTGTATCAGTTAAGATAGTCTAGTTTGTGCTATGATAATGATCCAATATTTCCGTGTTTTAAGATAGACGCGTACTTTTCGCTCATGCTATGGGTATGCTGGAAGTCACTGGGGAATTCTGGTCCATGCTGTCCTCATCTGGGGACCTCGAGTAAGGGAAGGCTATCATCTGTATTTGTTGTTGATTACTGCTATACAGGAAGATAAATAATTGTGCTCCACCTCTTAAAGTACTCTGCCTGGAAGATGCATTTATCTTTGCACATGTTTCATTGGGTAAAACAAGTCACATGGCTATGCTTAACTTCCTGGGACAGGTAATTAATTATAGTTCTACCATGTTCCTAGAATGAAGAGAACCAGATATATACATGAGTGACTAGTATCAATGTCTACCACAGGTTATTAAAGATCAGAAAGAAAGAAAAAAGAGAAGAGGGGAGAGGAGAAGGAAGATGGAAAGGGAAAAAGATAAAAACAGAGAAAGGAGGGAGACGGAGAAAAGGGATAAAGAGAGAAAAGGAAGGAAGGGAGGGAGGGAGGGAGGGAAGAAGGTAGGAGGGAAGGAGGTAGGGAGAGAGGGAAACCTGGCTTAAATACTTGAAAGGTGCATCTGTGTGTGCATGTCTCCTTTAATAGCAATACACATATATGTTGATTAACACATGCAACTTGTTAGGTGGCTAAAAAGGCTTCACAGAAGAGGTAACATTTTAGCATCATCTTTTTTTTTTCTTTGAGACAGCTCTGTTGCTCAGGCTAGAGAGTGCAGCCACATAATCACGGTTCACTTTAGCCTCTGCTCTGGGGCTCAAATGATCCTCCAGCCTCAGCCTCCTGAATAGCTAGCTGGTTCCACAGACACATGCCACCACTCCAGCTACATTTCATTTTTTGCAGAGATGGGGTCTCACTATGTTGCCCAGGCTTGTCTTGAACTCCTGGCCTCAAGTATTCTCTTACCTCTGCCTTCCAAATTGCTGGGATTACAGGTAAGAGCCACTGCACCTCACTACTGCATGGTCTTGAAGTAGAGGAACAGGAATTTCTAGGCAGAAAAAGAGGTTAAAGGAATTCCAGGCAAGATACTATACTAGCATGACTAGAGATGTGGGACCAAGAAAGAAGAGGGTGATTTAAGAAGCTGGAGAAA
This sequence comes from Homo sapiens, assembly GCF_000001405.40. Taxonomy (NCBI): domain Eukaryota; kingdom Metazoa; phylum Chordata; class Mammalia; order Primates; family Hominidae; genus Homo; species Homo sapiens. The sequence goes on from NC_000011.10 coordinate 104,512,339, forward strand.
ATGTTTATTTATTTTATTTTATTTTTAAATCACTGGATGTGATAGCTTAGATTATTGGTCATCAAATATTTACTGCCCTGTCCTTCAGCTGTGAGACAAATATACATTTCTGCCTCATTGATTTATTTCAGGTTTAGCTATGTGACTTTCCTGGCTAATGGAATGCAGAATCGACAGGGTAGAAATTCTGAGCTTTGACTTTAAGAGGTGTCATGTGTTTCAGCTTGCCCCCGGCAGCATGTGACCTCCTACATGAAAAAATGTGCCTAGATCTGCTGTCTCTCGAGCTGAGCCCCAGAATGAGATATGTGAAGCAAAGCCAGCCCAGCTAAACAGCAGACCCACAGCAACCTTTAGACTTATGAAGGGGATAATACATGCTCATTATTATTTTACTTAATTTTGTGGTGTTTTCTTTATTATATAGCATTATTTTGTCCCTAGTTGACTACTACAGTAGGAAATGTATAGTTTATATTTTTAAGATTTTTAAGGCAGAGTTGGGTAAATATGGTTTTCAACTCAATTAAGACCGTAAATAAGACTATTTTTTTAAATGAGTAAAAAAGTTCTGTAATATCTTTTTACTTATATGTAAGATAAATGTGTGAATGAGGAATGGGGAGAGGGCATAGATTTGACTTCTTGAAGAAAAATAATCAGATGTGGTAGCTTTTTGTTTGTTGTTCTGCAAGCTTCTGCTGGATGTAATAACCAAGACAAGAAGGAAGTTGCCTATGCTGGCTTTCTTTTTTCTGTCACCTCCATGGTCTTACCTAATCAACCTGAGTTATGGGGTTAACAGATTAGTGAAAGTTGAAATAATTCTCCATGCCTTAAATTAAGCCTTATCTGAATTACACATAGCATCAGTTTCTTACATGTGAATGTCACATTTCTCATTTTTTAAAACAAATTTTACTGGGCTTAATAGCTAGGTGATGGGTTTGTCTGTGCAACAAACCACTATGGCACACATTTACCGATGTAACAAACCTGCACCTCCTACATATGTGCCCTGGAACTTAAAGAAAAGTTGATTTAGAAACACCTGTAATATAATAGCTTAAAATAGCTAGGCTGTGGAGAAAAACAGAATTGAGTTTGAAATGACTCTACCACTTACTAGCTGTGTTGCTATATTAGTCTGTTCTCATGCTAATAAAGACATACCCAAGACTGGATAATTTATAAAGAAAAAGAGGTTTAATGGACTCAGTTTCACATGGCTCGGGAGGCCTTAACAATCATGGCGGAAGGTGAGTGAAGAGCAAAGTCGCATCTTACGTGACGTCAGGCAAGAGAGAGTGTGCGTGGGAACTACCCTTTATAAAACCATCAGATCTCATGAGACTTATTCACTATCAAGAGAACAGCATGGGAAAACCTGCCCCCATAATTCAGTTACCTCCCACTGGGTCCCTCCCATGACACCTGGGGATAATGGGAGCTACAATTCAGGATGAGATTTGGGTGTGGACGCAGCCAAACCATACCATTTGCCTTAGGTAAATTATTAAATTTATTTAAGCTTGAGTTTTGTCCTATAAAATAAGGGTAGAATATTATCTATCACATCTGGTTGTTTTAAGCTAATGTATATAAATGCATTTAGCACAATGCATAGTACAAAAGGAAGAGCAATGATGATGACAATGAAAATGGTTTTCTGTTGAACATTTTCATGAGAATTAGAAGACAGGAAAGGAAATACTTGCTTATGGTGTCATCTTACCTCCAAATTCTAAACTTTGTATTACTTGACTTTTGATAAACTAAAGGGGAAAATGAAAAAGAAAAAGGGGAGAAAATATGAACAATTTGTTCATGTGACTTGTTACTCTTGAATAGCACACACAAAAAGAGGCTTCTAACCTGATCTAAAACTATATTATTTTCAGTACACAATTGCATTTTTGGTAGAAGTACAGAAAGTAAAACTATTTTCAATAAATAATAGGAGGTTAGAATAATTGAAAACTTCCTGGTACAATGATCTTACTTAAAATAATGTTTCCCAGCATGCCCAAATTTGAATCAACTAGATAGAATATCTTTCACTGATTCATTAGGAACTCAAAGCCTAATTGTTTCCTGTTCTTTATCAACATAAATACCTCATCACATATTTCACTGGACAGACAAACAGATTGTTGAAACTAGTGTTATACTTTTGTCTGGGCCCACACAGCAGTAAACTTTCCTCTTGTCAAATAGGCTATCATTTGGAAAATTACATGAGATACATCAGAGAACAAAATACTTAAAATCATGTAATTAGCTTTAGAAATGAGGACTTTGTGAGTGTAAATGGCAACATTTTGGCAGAATTTAAAAAAATCAGCCTTGATCATAGATTAGGGTACATTAACCGTGTACCTAGGTTAAAAGAAATTGAAGTTTTCCATTATCATTTCTTTTTGGATTTTGTTTCTTCTTCTTTCCTTTGCATTTTTTTTTCAGCTTTGATAATGGCTCCTCTGGCCAATTCTGATAATGTAGGTCTTCAGGTTAATGTGTGTGTGTGTGTGTGTGTGCATGTGTGCGTGTGTAAGTTATGCGATGTATGTTCAAAATGTACGAGTTGCTGTTCTGGCTGTCATACATAAGAATAAGGCATGTATCCCCAAAAGTTCTTCAGATCAAATGCAAGAAAATAACTTTATTTTTGAGACAGAGTCTGATGAGACAGGAGCTATAGTAGAGTAATCACAGCTTATTGCAGCCTCAAACTCTTAGGCCCAAGTAATCCTCCAGTCTTAGCCTCCATAGTAGTTAGAATGACATGCTGCAACCTGAGACCTTGTTAATTTTGATTTTTGTAGGGATGGAGTCTTGCTATGTTGAAAAGGTGGTCTCAAACTCCTGGACTCAAGCAATCCTCCTGCCTAAGCCCCCCAAAGTGCTGAGAGTATAGGCATGAGCCATGGTGCCCAGCCTTCAAAATAACTTTTATTAGGCAAGGTTCTTTGTTGCAAGCACAACCTGCTTCTCATTGCCTTAAGCAATAAAAAGAATGTATAGAACCTGGCAATGAAGTGTCTCAAAAATAATGAATACTCGATTTGGGCATAACTAGTTAGAGTTAATGTTAGAACCAACAGAGATTGGCCCCTCTCTGCCTTTCAGGTCTAATCTCCTTTGTTCAGACTTCATTTCCACTTACTCTTGTGGCTTGATGGCTCCTGGCAGCTCCAAGCCTTTCTGTTAGAAATTCCAGATGTACTTATGTCTATATAAGGTATTTATATTTTTCATGTTCCTTTATGGCTCTAAATGCTTTTCCTAATCCATAACATGCCCTTTCCTTTTTTCAGCTGATTACTGATTAATATTTATTCAAAAAGTAGTTCAGATTTCATCTCCTTCAGGAAGGCTTCCCTGATCAGCTCAGTCTGAATTTCTTAATCATGTGCTAATTACACCATCTTTTTTAGTTGCTTCTAGCACTTATTACATGATTGAAAGTGTCTGTCTTTTATGTTTATATTCTCATTGTAAAATATGACACCTATCAGAATGTAGATGCTCAATAAAAACACATTTTTCAAAATATTCCAATTTTTATCTTCATGAAAATAATCTATTTTTGTTAGAAGTAACTATTAAAAAATAAGGGGCCAAGTGCTGTGGCTCATGTCTGTAATCCTAGCACGTTGGGAGGCCAAGGAGGCTAGACCACCTGAGCTCAGGAGTTTGAGACCAGCGTTGGCAACATAGCAAAACCTTGCCTCAATAAAAAAAATTGCCGGATGTGGTGACCTAAACCTGTTGTCCCAGCTACTTGGGAAGCTGAGGTGGGAGGATCGCTTGAGCTCGGGAGGTCAAGGCTTCGATGAACCATGATCATGCCACTGCACTTCAGCCTGGGTGACAGAGTGAGACCCTGATTCAGAAAATAAATAAATATATAAATAAATAAGATATTTTTATTTTCATAGATATCACTTTCTTGATTAAATGTTAAATAAACATATTTATAATTTAATAATTTGTAAAATGCCTCTCCTACCCTTCTCTCTTTATATATCCCATACTCCATATCTATTTGTATTAGTCAGGCTGTGTAGGAGCATTAATTCATTTAAGCAGATTATTATATATCTATCTGGAGAAAAATAGTGATTTTTCTCTAAAATTGTATATCAGGTGAGATTTCTTAGAGAAGACCAATAGAAGAATCAATAATGAAAGACTATATTCGAATAGGTGCTAACTATTCTTTATATTATTATGAATAATAACTTATTCTTGGTCCTTATGTCCCTTTCTCCATCTTCTTTTTCTTTATTATTTTTTCCTCTTCTCCTTTTCTCTCCCTCATCTTTCTCCTTCTCTTCCTCACCCTCCTGCTATTTCTCCTTCAACATTATTGTCATCATCCTTCTCCTCCTCCTCTTCATCATCATCTACATGTGGATAGCTATGGGCTTCAAACCCAAGTGCCTAAACAGTCTAAGCCAGGAATATGAATGCATGAAGTCAACTGGTATAAGGTTAAAGGTACTAAACTTTGGATAAGTTACTAAACAAAATTCCTCTTTAGCCACATTACATTGTAAAAATTAAAGCAAGCAAATAAAAAACAGAACAGCAAAACAAAAACAACAAACAGCCAAACAAATATACCAGAGTGCGTTCTTCCCCATAGTTGCCAATTTGCTTGCTATCTTTGCTTTGCAGTCTACCATGGCCTCCAAGAATAGGTTAAAAAAACTACATGACCGAAAGTTGTGGACCTGACTACTGGTAACTTCTGTCTTACCAGAAGCAGTATAATAGAGTGGGTCAAGAACAGTCACTGGGACCAGATATCATCAGTGTTGTCTCCTGCCCCCATTTATGTAACTTTGGTCAAATTACATGACACCTTGTGTGTCTGTTTCCTCATAGGGTCATGGTGATAATTTCATAGGTAATTAGTATAAAATTCTAGCTAGAACTGTATCAGGTTTGGAGTAATATATGAGTCCAATTAAGCTTCAGTATCCTTAGCTATGCAATGAAGGAATGAACCTAAATGATGATTTCTAACATATATTTCTGTCTGGACCCTTTATGTCCCTAAGCATTTTTACTCACATTGGATCCAGTGATCCTAACAAAATTATTGCGAGAAAGACTGAAAGATATTAATAATCCCAGTAACAAATAAGGAAGTTGAGGCTCACAAAGGTTACAATTGTTTACCTGATACTACTTGAGCAATATATATACAGTTGAATTCATATCTTTCTATAGTGGCGGCTGTGGTCTGTAACCATCTCTCACCTTCAAGACCAAGACCTTCATTTGCTCAGTTACTGGAAATTTTGGCAGGTGACAGGTCTCAGCAGAGTCCTCCTCCAGAATGACCATCTGCTGAAGAGAGTCACCTCACCCAAAGCCCTGCTTTCTTCCTTGGGCAGTGCACATCCAACATCTGGCCATAGTCGGGGTAGAGGTCCAGCCCTCTACCCTTGGTTTGAAAGGACTCTGCAGGGCCTTCTATAGCTTTCCATGGGTTCCTCTGAGGCCACTGCTGTGACTACATCTTGTTTGAACTCCTACTCCTGCTTCCTACTCCTTTTTTTTTTTACTGCCCCACAGGTGTCCATTCAATAAACTTCCTGCATACAAATATCCACCTCAGAGCATCCTTCTTAAATCATCTAACCTGTAACACTTTGGAATCCTTATAGGTCTCTTCTTGTAAGAATGAGGATGAGAAGGCACAAACATAAGCAGAGCAAAGCAGAAATCAGCTCCTGTTTAATATTTTTATAGTGTCATCAAAGTAAAGACCCATTATAGGATTATAATTTTAAAGTTATATTTATAATCCAAAATATTTATAAAATTTAGTCATAAAAATAATAACTTTGACAGAAATAAGATAAATTGAAGTTCAATGAGTTTTAAGACTTTATATTTAAAATTGCTACATGTTGGTGTCTCCAGGTATTGCTTATACTGATTGTGTGTCAACCGCAATAGCTGGTATGTTTTGCTTTTGCTTAAATTAGTCTTGACACTTTGAAATCCTCAGAGTACTAGTTGTAACCTTGGGAAGAAAAATATCTATGCACGTTGCTAATCTACACAATGACTAGGAAAATCACTATTTATTACGAGAAGAAAGTAGACAATCAGTCAAACAATTTCTATTCTGTCTAGTCTAGATTTTGAATAAGCCCAGGAAAGGGGTATCACATTATTGCTAGCATTTTTGGCAGTTTAGGAGCATTTAAATTCAAAGGAATATAAAAGATTGAGGTAACTTAATTATTGCTTCTAAGGGGAAGCTTGATATTAATTATAATACCACCAAGAAAAATTTAATGAAGTGAATTTAAATTAGTAAATACATTTTTATTTCAGTTTAGAGGCTGATTTTTAGAGTCTTCTTTGGATGCAAGGTTTAGCTTTTTTGAATCATTTAGACATTGTTTAAAAAAGCATGATGTGGCCGGGCACGGTGGCTCACGCCTGTAATCCCAGCACTTTGGGAAACCGAGGTGGGTGGATCACCTGAGGTCAGGAGTTTGAGACCAGCCTGGCCATGTGGTGAAAGCCCATGTCTACTAAAAATACAAAAATCAGCAGGGCATGGTGGCAGGCGCCTGTAATCCCAGCTACTCGGGAGGCTGAGGCAGGAGAATCACTTGAACCTGGGAGGCGGAAGTTGCGGTCAGCCGAGATGGCACCATTGCACTCTAGCCTAGGGGACAAGAGTGAGACTTTGTATCAAAAAAAGAAAAAAAAAAAAGGCATTATCTGTGCCCTCCAATTTTGATGCTATTTTCTTACCTTTAGTATTTAGTTGAATATGTTGTCATGTTGACATTTATTTCTATGAAAAATGTATAGAGCCTGAAATAAATATCTAATACAAAGAATTATTCAAGGTGTATTAGTTTCCCAGGGCTACCATAATAAATACTACAGACTGTATGGCTTAAATAGCAGAAATGTATTTCCTCAAGTTCTGGAGGCTGGAAGTCCAAAAGCAAAGTATCAGCAGATTTGGTTTCTCCTGAGGTCTCTCTCCTTGTCTTGAATATGGCCACCTTGTCTTGCAAATTGCCACCTTGTCTCATTCTGACCTCACATTCTTGCTCATCAGTCCATTGTTTGTTGTCTATGTGCTAAACTCCTCTTCTCATAAGGACACCAGTCAGAGTGCATTAAGGAATAACCATATGACCTCATTTTACCTTAATTACCTGTTTAAAGACTGTTTTTCCAAATGCAGTCACATCCTCAGATATTGGTGGTTAACACTTCAACATACAAATTTTGGAAAGAAAAAATTCATTTCATAAGAGATGGTAATGCCTATCTCAGCACCACATCAATTCATTGAACATGAATAATGAAAATGAAATGTTCTTGGTTTGATTTAGAGCTATAACATTCACTAAGTGATGCTCAACAGAAGTCAGAACCCTCAACTGCTCTGCCCTAATGGGTGTAAAACTTACATAATAACACCACAAAGAATACATTAATTAAATAAGAGAATGTTTAGGAAGTTTGCTGTGACTATAGAAATCTTCTGGAGGAAACAGATCTCAGCTAGGATCTAAAAGACAAGTAAAATGCAAATAGGTGAACAGGAGAGGAAAGGAAAGGACATTTCAGGAGAGTGAAATGATGTAACTAATGATATACATATAGACAAAGAGCATGGTATGATGAAGATACAGTGAATAAATCAGTCTGGCTAGAATAGAAGGTCACTGAAGGTATTCTGCAGTGGAAAACTATATTAAGAAAATTAAACTGGCAACAAAGTGACGAATAGATTGCAGAGGGAGAGACTAGAGACCAATTAGAATGTTAATGCAATAAGTCAGACAAAGTGATATTGAACTCAGATAATGGTGTTGAAATTTAGACGATGGTAAAGATGCAAGAGTTATTATGAAGGAAATGGTAAACCAGCAATTGTTTTTGAGTATGAGAATTGCATGAGAATTTTCAGAATATTAATTTTGAAATGAATCTGCTTTTTCAGAGGGAAGAGAATGAATTTTCTTTTAGACATATGAAAGGGCCACAGATCACCTAAGTAGAAATATCCAGTATGCTGCTAGAAAATGGAAATGTAACATAGGAGGACATATAAAATGGAGATATATTTGTATAGGTGAAGTGTCCCATATTTTAAGAGTTGAGTGGGTAAGAGCTTATGGAAGATGTGGTTGATAAAGATGTAATATGAGACATTTACAACAAATTTAAGATCTCGAAACTTGCATAATATTATTGGATAACAAGATCCTGAATGTAATTCTACAGATACGGAAATAAGGACATAAAAATGACCAGTTAAATCAAAGAAGTCAAGAATTGCAAAGGGTCATTGATATAATATTGAAATTATCAACATGCTGCTTGCAAATATCAAAGCCAAACCCTAAATTCAACTTGGAAAATAGAGACGGATCCTGATAGCAAGTCAGGTAAAGGCAGCAATGTGTTAAAAAAAATGCCAACTAATATAGTTTTCTATTGATGAGATATAAATGTATTACAGATCAGTGGCCATTTTTGCTCTGTATCCTCACATGGCTCTAACAGTAGTGATACTTTTGAGATTATGACAACATACTTACTCTTTTAAATGATTAATTCTGGGAGTGTTTGTGTTTTCTCTTCCTATCTAGATTATAATCCTCTTTTGAGAAAGATGTTCATTTTATTTCTATAAAGAAACTACTGCAAATTTTGGCACATAGCACTTTTAAGCATAAACTTTCATAAATTTTAAATACTTGAAGACTATAACTAAGGCAATAGTTAATTTAACCTGATGTGCAAGCATGAACATATACATATATGTATACATAGTTCAATATAAATGTGTTTAGAATAATAGAATATTAGATAAAGGAGACAGCAAAGAGGTTATCTAAGCAGTTTATTTTGCACATAATTTAGCTAACTCATAGAAATTTAAATTAAATATATAATATATTTAAATGAATTAATATAATAAATAAAGCCGTTAGAATAATGCATGGCATGTAAGACATGTTCAATGTTCAGTATATATTGGCTATAGTTTATATTTTAAATTATTATCACATTCACATCCCCTTATGCACAAATACATGAGGGAAAATACCTGTAGAAGAAGCTCTTAACTATCAAACAGTCATAAATATTTTGGCCAAGTGTGGTGGCTCATGCCTGTAATCCTACCACTTCGAGAGGCTGAGGCAGGAGGATTGCTTGAGCCCAGGAGCTCAAGACTATCGTGGGCAATATAGCGAGGCCCTAATTTTTTGTAGGGACAAAAAATAAATAAATAAAGTTAGTCAGGCACTGCTGTATGTTCCTGTAGTCTCAGCTACTTGGGAGGCTGAGTCAGGAGGATTGTCTCAGCCTGAGAGATGGAGGTGGTATCACCCATGGCACTTCAGCCTGGGCAACAGAGTGTGATCCTGTCTCAAAATAAAATGAATTTAAAAGGCAATACATAAATGAATACATATTAATTGCCTATTTATAAGAACACTTTTAGTATTAGTAACAAATTGAAAGAATTTGGAAAATTCCGGTTCATGAAAATAGCAGGCTATTTTCTAAGCTAGCATTTCCTTTGTTTCAAACATGAAATAAAGAATTTGAGAATATCATACACTATAAAGTTTGGTAAATATCAAGAAGTGTGATTAGCATTATTTTTACTATGGTCTTCTTAAGTAGCATTATTTAGATGAATATTTGAGATTCATGTACCATTGGATAATTTCTGTTTTATTTATGACAGCATGTTTTCTATGATTTGCCACCCACAAAAGCAATGACTTCCTAAATATCCTACACGATACAAGGATCTAAATGTGGTGCCTGGAAAAGTGAGATCTTATGAGGAAGTGTACATGCCCCTAAGAGATTCTTCTTAAATAAATAGCTGATCCTAATCTGTTAGGAGCTGAGGCCTAGATTACTGTACACAGCCCTCAATGGCAAGGAGAGTTGATTTCAGGCGGCTGCCTGGTGTTTCTCCCTAGCTGGGCTCCTGTTCTTCAGCTTTACTCAGTGTACTCACAGTAGTCCAGTTATTGTACAGCAACAAATTGGGCATGCCACTTTGTATTCTATTGTAGATTTTTATCCTCAGATAAGCAAATTGATATCAGAAAAATATGACAAATTACCAAGTGGTTGGATGACTGAAACTTATAAGCCCAATATTCCATTTTGTCATGAATATTCATATTAATCATATTATTCAAATATTCAAAGATTTTAATAGGAAGATTATTTGGAATTTTATGCTAAACTTAAGTTTGTACGAGTATCTCTTTTAGGGGATGGTATCATTGGATAACATCATATACCTCATATCTTACTGTTAGTAATCAAGCTGAACTGCATGTGAACTTGCCAGATGCCTTTTTTGACTTGTTGCCAACCTTCAGTGAAAACAAGCAGGTTATGTAAGAGATCTAGTTCTGTTCAACCCATTTTATGCTGCACTTCTTAAGGACAGAACACTTAATGAAGGACAGCACACTTAATGAAGGACAGCTTGGTTATGGTTTCCAAAGTCAGTTGATAAACATTAGCCCATATAAGAGGTTATCTGCAATATGCTGCTGACCTTGATCCTGATGCACAGATAATATGATGACACATTTGGCTGAGCACCAGGTTAGCTACCAGCTAGCATCAGGGAATGCTACTACAGTCAAACATAATTATCAATAGCTGCAGCATTTAGCTTTCCTGTTTAATACATCATAGAAAAGAAACAGGAAAGAAGCAAGAGGCAACAGCAGTTCTCTATAGCACCTTGATACACATTGTGAATGTCCACTTTAATGTGTACAGGGAGATGAAATATATTTCACCCATGTCCTACAGCTCACTACGCACTAGGTGGATAGACACTTCACGCAAACTTTAAAAATCTGCTCTACTGACCATTAGATTGTAAATCCTTTGGATCACAAAGAAATATAGCATTTGTTTGCATATGTACAGATACCACCCTATTCCTGATCAAAAATGAACTTCGGTTTCCTTTAGGAAAAATCATTCTTCCTAAAGATGATTATTTCTAAAGATGATTCTTCCTAACAGGGAGTAAAAAAATCATTTTACAGTTTTGACTAGAGCATATTCGGGGGTAGGGAGTAAGCAATGGCAATTTTTAAACTTTCCTGAACATGAAATCCATATCTTCATTTTATAAAGTTTCTTCCTTACACTGATTTAATAATAATTGACTTTCAATATTAAGACAATATCACCAAAAATGAAGTAACAGACATAGCCATTAGACTGGGATTGACAGGAAGAGCCTTAATAATCCTTTTACTTTCACAGAATTTTACAAAGCAATTTCCAAAGTACCAAATCTTTTAGCCTTATGACTCTGTGAAGTGTTATTATACCCAATTATACAAATGACAACTGAGCCTCAGAAAGGTTACATTTAGGTAGCAGGTGGCAAAACCAAGCCAGGAAATTAGCATCCCCTGGAACACAGCATCCTCATACTCCTTCCCACATTTCTCTGCTAGGCAGGATGGGAGTCGAAAAAGTATGATTGCAAAAGTGGAAATTAGTTGCTGAATGTTATAACAAGATAATTTGAAGCTGGGGGATAGAATGGATCATATAACTTCTAGAATCATTAATAGTTAGAGAACCAAAGAATTTGTTTGAATAAAAGCACCAAGATAACACTAAATAATATAACAGGGTCTATATAAATAAAGAAATAGCCATTATTTCAATGCATTAATACCTGAGACTGGCATATTTATATGTATAGATTTCTTTATTTTTATTTTTATTTTTTTCTTTATTTTTATTTAAAAGATTGATCTTCTGAGGAATTCCTCCAAAGCCCCCCAATCAAAGGTTTTCATCATAATTGATGTGATGTGATCATCTTATGTGAAACATCATAAATAAGCAAAAACATTAGAGGAAAATATATGTTTTGAGGGGTGGATTGTTTAGTGCTATAATTATTTGCTTTGGACCCTAGTCTTAGAGTTCTTAAAGGCCTCTAAATGGAGCTTGCATGGAACAGACAAACAAAACATAGCATCCCCAGTGAGCAATTCCCCATATTTTCTCATCAAATCTTGTGCAAAATGCCATGTAGAGGGGATTTGCACATTCTTGCCACAATAGATCTGCCAGGACATTCCAGCTTCTGTCCAGTCACCAGGCAACAGACTTTGGAGCTGATGGTAATAGAAAAAGAAAATATAATTAAAACAGATTGTTGTCCTCAGAGTGATTTCATTTAACTCAAACTTATTTTTATTTAACAAACATTCTTATGCTTGTCATTTCTGGTGAGAACATGAGCTCCCTACTGGTATAGTCTAAAAGTATTCTCTAATTTTTTAGTCAGAATGTAATTGTCTAATTTTTTAAGCATGTATTATATGCTGCAAACTTATATAAGCATTTTGCATCTACTTTCCCAATTCTTTTTTAAAATTTTACTTTTCCATAAGTTATTGGGGTACAGGTGGTATTTGGTTGCATGAGTAAGTTCTTTAGTGGAGATTTGTGAGAACCTGGTGCACCCATCACCCGAGCAGTATACACTGCACCATATTGTTGTCTTTTACCCCTTGCCCCTTCCCACTCTTCCCCCCAAGTCTTCAAAGTCCATTGTATCATTCTTATGCTTTTGCATCCTCATAGTTTAGCTCCCACATATCAGTGAGAACATATGATGTTTGGTTTTCCATTCCTGAGTTACTTCACTTAGAATAATAGTCTCTAATCTTATCCAGGCCATTGCAAATGCTGTTAATTCATTCCTTTTTATGGCTGAGTAGTATTCCATTGTGTGTGTGTGTATATATAAATATATACACACATATATACACACATATATATATATGAATATCAGAGTTTCTTTATCCTAATTTCTTATTCAGAATAAGCAACTGAAGTCCCTCTCTCTGTGACTTTGGGGTAGAGATAGGACTTCTGTATTTTTGCCTCTTAATATGGGCTAAAATAGGTCTCCCCTACGTTCGTATTTTGAAGTCCTAACCCCGAGTTCCTCCAAATGTGACTAGATTGGAGATAGGGCTTTTAAAGGGATGATTAAACTAAAATGAAGCTATTAGGGTGGCCCCTAATCTAATCTGACTGGTGTCTTTATAAGAAGAGGAAATTAAACCAACAAAAAGACATCAGGCATATACATATACAGAGGGCTGGGTATGGAAAAGGCAGCAAGAGGGTGGCCATCTGCAAGCCAGGGACAGAGACTTGGAACAGATCCTTCCCTGAGGAACCTGAGAAGAAACCATCCCTGCCAGCAACTTGACCTTGGACTTTTAACCTTCAGGACTGTCAGAAAATAAATTTCTGTTATTTAAGCCGGCCAGTCTCTCGTACTTTATTATGGCGGCCCTAGTTAACTAATAATTCTCCAGCACCCAATGTAGTGCCTGGCAGGTTGTTGCTGTTTCATTGCTATTGATGAATGAATTTATTCATGCAGGAAACTGCCTCTTCTTGTTCCAAAGCAAAACATCTGAGCAAAATCCTGTATAGCCTCCTTTCTTTTTCTCTTGCCCCAGGACAATCTGATTGAGTGTAAGAAGTAGTTGGGAGCAGAGCATGTACATGTGGGTACTGGTATTGACAACTGTTCTTTGCCATTTACATTACAGATTTCATAGAAAAATTTTATTTACAGATATTATTTTCCCCTTGAAATGTTTTTGGTGTGATAACCACACGAGAAAAAAAAAGTACAGAGATTGCAAAAACAAATGAAAACATACAAGCATAATAATTTTTCCCTTCTGTGGTTTTGTTTTTCCATTTTGTGTCTCATAACTTGGAAAGGGCTTTGGGATTAAAAAAAGAGCTTTGGCTCTCAAACATGTTCCTCGGAAAAAAATAGTTGCAGTTTTCACCTTTAGTTTCCATGGCATGCTCCCAGGAGAAAGCATTTTGCATCCTGTAATCTCTTGATGTAGTTTATAGAGAATGAAGACTCCTATCTGGCATCCAGTATAACTAATTATTCTACTCACTAAAGAAAATTAGCAGCTTGACATTTTAAATGATGACCTGGAATTTATATTTTGTGGACCACATTGATCTTTGAGACAAACTGATGAGGGTTTTATAAATGTGCAAAACATAATTATCCAATTATATTTTATTGTGAGCATGATTATTTCTGGCAATTGTGACAGAAGGAACAAAGGCTAGGCATGAACATACAATTACATTCCTTTTTTAGGACTTTGGCTACAAATGCTACTTACAGTCTGTTAAGATCTTACATTCATTCTGCAAACTTTTCCCTATATCAGAGAAAAAGAGATCTTTTATTTCATGTTCAGGAAAGTCAAAGCTCAAATTCAGATAAAAATGAAGTTAAGTGCTAAATTCTCCCTTGGAACAATGGGTGGATTGTATGGTTTGCAATTATCATATCAAGCCTTTCATTAGAATATAAGTATTCAACACATAATACATTGTCAAAACATTTATGCCTTTGTCTTTGTCTATTATATTGAAAGGTAATTCTCCTGTATGGCATGGTCTAGCACAAGACAGTATTATTTTGAATGTAAAAATAATATAGAGTGTTGGGGTGCTATGTATTTCTAACATTATAATTATTATGGTGATTATATTACCTAATTAAAACTTTTCTTTTTTATTGATAAAGAATTAAATATTGGAAAATAATTAAGTTTTACTAAATGCACTCAGTGAAGATTTTGGTAGAACAGAAAAATCAACTCATGAGCCAGTGTTAGTAAACATTTTTGTGCCTCTTAAAACCTCTTGCACTTCAATAGTTATAATTATTATTGAAAGTCCTTGAGGAACTCTTTCAACAATTGCACAATTATAATTTGCAGATTCAGCTTTGAGTGTGAACTATGAGTTTATTAACTTTCATTGATTCTGTTTTTGCAGTGTCTACCATATCTATCTTTTCCTGTTCCACTATAACCACATTGGTTCAGATACCTATCTTCTTCCTGAATTGCTATAAAAATCTTCATCTTTCTAACTCTGTTCTATTTGAATAATATATCCTTCATAAAGATACCAGATTGATCTTACAAAAATATTGTCATCATCAAAAAATATAAACTCATTCCACAGTGGGAAAAGTTTAATATATAGCTTCATGGCAAAATGGAATCATATTTTCTTCAACCCAGTCTATTCACTTATCTTTTCCATGAGTAATTGCTCTCATAATTACTTTCTATGGCTACAAACTACAAAAATGTTTAAGTAAAGGAACTAATTATTTTTCATGAAACCTGATAGTAATTGAGAAGAAAACACTCTTACTGGCAAGCACATTGCATTCAAGACTCTCCCCTAAGTCACTCTTAACTACTCCAATTGTATTACGTGTCCCCAGATCGCTAGTTGAGTATATGCTGCCACCACCACACTTTATCTCATCTAAATGTGAACAAATACCCTTCCGTTAAAGTAACCAGAGGAAGATGGATGATTTAAACAAAACAGGATTAGTAAGTTTAAGAATAAATACAAAGCATAAAACCAAGTTACACATAGAAATCAGAATATTTACCCAAATTAAAATTAAGGTAGGAACTTTCTGGGCTTAAAACCTTTCTGCTTAGCAATGTCTCATCTGTTTCTAATTCTAGACTCAGGTCTTCAAATAAGATGGAGAAGCTGTAGGTTTGCACTCTTCCTGTAATCAATGACAGTTTCAACCTCTTCAGAGCCCAATTTGTCGACTTCTATACGTGTGTGAAGTCACAGGTTATTCTCTCCAAAATCATGAATTGAACTACACTTCAGCTTCCCTGGCCTTGTCAGTGTACCCAGCTATAGGGTCTGTCTCCTAAATAAGAAATAAAATGTTTATACATGGCCGCAACCCTTAGGGGTAGATAGCAGAAGTCTCAATTTTGGGTTCTTCATTGTATTCATGCCCTTCCATGGATAGCTTTGCAATTCCCCACCTCTAGCTCTGATTCTAGGCTCTGACTGGAGGCTTGCATTGGGATGTTAGCAAACGTGATACAATCAGAAGACAGGAAAGTGCATATAAAATTGAGCTTCCTCTCTCTCTTGCACCCCTCTTACCTCTGTGAAAACTTTTCTGGGCTGTCCTTCTGGAAGATGAGAGACACAGAGAGCAAATCCAGTTACCCTATTTGCCCTGGTTGACCTTGAGATATTTGAGTGAGTTTATCTAAGGTCAGCCAGGTTCCCTATCTGATCAGCCCAGTGTGTGCCATCCATGTTGATGTTGTGTGTCACACTGAGTTTTATGAAGGTTACACAGCATTACTGTGCAACAGATAGCTCATATGCGCCTCTCCCACTTTATCTATACTTCAAATCAGTCCGTAATAATTCTTTAAACGTATATGTTAAAGCAGGAGTGTCCAATCTTTTGACTTCCCTGGGCTACATTGAAAGAATTGTCTTGAGCCACACATAAAATATACTAACACTAGCAAGAGCTCATGAGCTAAAAAAAATTGCAAAAAAGTCTCATAATGGTTTAAGAAAGTTCAGGAATTTGTATTGGACTGCATTCAAAGCTGTCCTGGGCTGCATGTGGCCCATGGGCCATGGGTTGGACAAGTGTTAAAGGCTACACAATCATCAAATGTATGGATTAGCTAAATTTGAGCATTTTTGTGGAAAGTAATGATTAAGGGCAAACCTTGTATATTGTAAGATATCAGATACAAAGTAAAAACTACTTTGTCCATCAGTGAACCTTTTTAACGGCTAATTTTGCTCCAAGAGTTAGGGGAAACTAAAAGGAGATTCCATTTAAAGAAAGAATTTTCCTGAGTGATCAAGATACAAAGCACTTCATATTAATTATAGTGGAAGAAAGCTGTAAGGTAAATTTGACACAGTCTCTATCCTGTAAGAAGTAGCAGTCAGATGAATTTCAAATGTGTATGAAATTCATTTTCAAGATTTTCAGCTGTTTATGCACCTTTCAATCCTCACTCCTACTGCCTTGGTTCAGGATTCCATTATCTCATAAGTTGAAAGTGAAAACAGCCTCCCCCAATCCATCCTTCACTGTGCCAAAATGATCTTCATTAACCATAAATCTGACTAGTCAGATTCTTGGCACCAACTGGAAGTGGACAGCTGCAGCATTATAGCCTCAATCAGGAGTATTTTCGAAAGAGAGTGATGAGATGAAAAGAAACCCTCTCAGAGACAGAACTTCTAATAGTATATTTCATTATCCTCTGTCTCCACTGAGAAGTGTTTATATATATGAATCTATACTAGTTTAAGGGCAAAGGCTAATGGTTTGTTTAGATGGTCAAAAGTTTGAAAAGAACAGATTTGAAAGGTTGACAACAAGGAGGTCTGAGGAAGAGATGTGCAGATGACCTCTTGAAATGCACAGAAAGCGTGGAAGTATTTTTGACCCAAGGTCCCTAAAGAGAAATAATTGCATGCAGAAGATATTCTTGATAATCAGTTGGACATGATGATATGTATGCAGATGTCATTCTCTTTCTTAGGCATCATCATGGCATAACATGAGAACTGGACATAGTTTTAAACATGTCATTTTCCTACAAAGGTTGACCTCACTGCTGCGAAGTGCCTAATCAAAACCAATGAGTTAAAGTCCCTGAATGGTACCATTCCTTTATTTGGCAGGCACCTGGTAGCAGGTTGATTGTATTAGACCCCTCAATCTTACCTCTTGGAACTGTGCATTCTGCATTTGGATTGCCTGTCCCTGTTTGAAATCTTCTGCCAGCACTGACATCTGTGCACTTACACAATGCCTGACTTGCCATCATGCTATCACTCAGAATATAGCTTCTGACTCAGGAACACATGTCCAATAGTAAAAGTAAATGGAAAATTACAACAATCAAAAGAAAAGAAAGGTTACCATAATGGTTAATTTTATGTGTCAACTTGCCTTCATTAAGGGATTTCCGGATGGCTGTTAAAACATTATTTCTGGGTGTGTCTGGGAGGATATTTCCAGAAGAGATTATCATGTGCATCAGTAGACTGAGTAAAGAAGATTCCCCCTTAGCAATGTGGGCAGGCATCATCCAATCCCTAGAGGGCTTCAGTGGAACAAAAAGGTGGAGGAACTGCAAACTTGCTCTCTTATCTGAAGCTGGGGCATCCATCCTCTCCTGCCACTGGACATCAGAGCTCCAGGTTCTTGGGCCTTTAGACTCTGAGGCTTCTTATATCAGTGATACTCCACATTCTTATTCTCAGGTCTTTCGCCTTGGGTGCTCAGGCCTTCAGACTCAAGACTGAATTATGACACCACTGATGTTCCTGGCTCTCCAGCATGCAGAAACCATGTAGTGAAACTTACTGGCCTCTATAATCACATGAGCCAGTTCCCAAAATAAATTTATCTTTAATACCTGTGTATATCCTATTGATTCTGTTTCTCTGGAGAATCCTAACACAGTCACAAAGAATTCATGCCTCAGCGGAGTATAAGTTTGAATAAAGAATACTGACAAGCTGAGAAGCTTGTTGAAGCCCTAGGGGATATGAGATGAGTAAAGAAATGTGTTAATAAATTGTGGCCGGTTACCATTCTACAGAATTCAGTATAATAACAACTGCATAGAGTTTTATTGTTAGGAATATATATATATATGTCATTTAAATAAATTAATATACAAAAATATATAGCCTTTATGTTAGCCTTTATATTATGGACTATACAGTTGGGATTATGACAGAATTAAAGGAGAAATTAACATCACCCAGAGACAAGATGGACACCATAATGGTTGGGACTTTAAGTATCATATTGCATATCATTAGGAGGCTGAGTGGTCAAAGCAGTGGACCGCGCCATTTATTGTTTCCTCTCAGCACCAGCTCTACCCTTCTGTGTCAGCCTACTGATGCTGGGTCTAGCACTGCAAACTGCCTATCTTATCTCCTTTGCCAACTGGCTTCCTATTGTTAAATTCTGCCAGTAGGGGGTGGAAGAGGAAGGCTGGAAGGTAGGAATCTGCTGTACCAGCAATGTCCCAGCAACAATACTCTGCCCTAGCAGGAGCTAGTCAGCTTCTTGCAGCCTCCAGCTTCTTTCCACATGTTAATGCCAGGTTCATTGTGCCCACTTAAAGGTTCAGCAGCAGCTAGACTGCACCCTGTCCTCAGAGTCAGAGCTCAAATTCAAACACCCCTCCTCACATTGAATTTATGTAGTTGTATTAGTCCATTTTGCATTGCTATAAATAAGTACCTAAGACTGGTTAATTTATAAAGAGGTTTATTCGGCTTATGGTTCTGCAGTTTTACAAGAAGCATCTGCTCCTAGTGAGGCCTCAGGGAGCTCACAATCCTGGAGGAAGGTGAAGGGAGACCAGCATGTCACGTGGTGAGAGAGGGAGTGAGAGAGAGAGATGGGGGAGGGAAGCCCCAAACTCTTTTTAACAACTAGATCTCCATGAACTAACAGAGTGAGAACTCCTTACCACACTGCACCTCAGGCACCAGCTCTTTATGAGGGATCTGTCCCCATGCTCTCAGCGCCTCCCGTCAGTCCCCTTCTCCAACACTAATCACATTTCAACATGAGATTTGGAGGGGACACACATCCAAATTAACCTCTTCTATATATTTCCAAAGTCATATGGATGGTAGCTGCTTCTTGTAGTTATTATCTCGGGATTGCATTAGTTACTATGCCTGAATTACTTTAGTGTTCCCAATTGCTCATTCAGCCTCCAACGCCTGTAAAACCAGTTCCCTTTATTATAGTCTCTATGTTGAAATATCTAGTGTGGTTTCTGTCTTCCTGACTTCTCAGTGACAAACATAGTCTCTCATAGATTTAAAATTGCAATAGCTTCATATTGCTCCTAGGGTAAGGTTCAAAACTCTCTGACTTGGCGTATAATGCTCTTCACATTTTTGCTTTTCTGACTTGCCTTCTACCACCTCCACCTATTATTCAAGTGATTCCAGCCAAATTGCCATTCCCAGGATGCTTCATCCTCTAATCCTTTTCATATGACATTTTCCCCACTTACTTTGTATGATGTATACTTTTTTTCCCAAGCAGCACAATCTTTTTTTATTTATCATCCTGTTTCACTTCATATACTCTTTTGATCTTTCAGGACTTGTGTCTCATACTCTAATGACTCTTCAAGGATCACGTTTTGAACACACAAACACAAATCTCTGAACGTACAGGAAGAAAGAGGGGAAGATATCACATACATACATCACAATCTCCAAGGCTGTATTAGCTGTCTTTGCTTGTTGCTGTTTTAGCACATAACGCTGTAATGAATGGTTTGTGTACTCCAATAGCATAGTGCTAATTCCCAATAGGAGTTCTTTAAGTAGTTGGCAAATAACTTAGATAAATACAATATAAAAGATAGGTGAGGAAAATGCCAAGAACAACTACAAAAAAAGGAAGATGTTCTATTGGATTAAAAATAATTAAAAAGCTTTAAGGTTCATCAAAGTCTATTGTGAGTGAATATATTGGGCCCATCTGAATAATTGAGGATGATATCTTATGTTAAGATCAGCTGATTACCACCCTTAATTTCAACTACACTCTTAAATCCCTTTGCCAAGCAATGTAACATATTCATAGGTTCTGGGAATTAGGACGTGAAGATCTTTGGGGGACCGTTATTCTATCTAACACAATCACTATTAGAACACTTAGAAAAGACATTGTGAATTAGATGATTATAAATTACCACTCAGGTTCTATGCCATTCTCATAGTTTTCATCACAGTCTAATTGATTCAAGGGAATTTTCTTTATTCACCACCGGAATAGCCCAATGTGAATGCATGTGCTACTTTTCACTTATGTTACAGTTTTTCTCATTTCTGTGTATCAATGATTAGTGAAGATGGAGTTTAGAAGAGATTAAATGAGTATACAATATAGTCGCCAGCCAGAAGCCAGCAAGAGACCTGTGCCCGTTATGTCCCTGTGTGTTTTCTTTCCCTAACCCCAAGATTTGAAAGAAAAAAAAATGTTTAACGGAACAGGAGGTTGCAGTAAACAGATTTAACTGCACACAGTTATGACCTCTGAGATTCCTGAAATTTTCTGAGATTTCAGAAAATGAAGAGAAGACTGAGCAATATGAAATATTGATCTCATGTTTGTTTCAGCTTTTGTAAATGGCAATGTAAAGTATAGAAAAATATTTCCAATTGAGCCTATTAAGCTTAACGTAAGCTATCAACATTTTTTTTTTTTTTTTTTGAGACAGAGTCTCGCTCTGTTGCCCAGGCTGGAGTGCAGTGGCACGACACAATCTCAGCTCACTGCAAGCTCCACCTCCTGGGTTCACCCCATTCTCCTGCCTCAGCCTCCCAAGTAGCTGGGACTACAGGCACCCGCCACCATGTCCAGCTAATTTTTTATATTTTTAGTAGAGACGGGGTTTCACTGTGTTAGCCAAGATGGTTTTCATCTCCTGACCTCGTGATCTGCCTGCCTCGCTATCAATTTTTAAATAGCATGTATAAAAGAAAAGAGGTTTTTAATCAAGAGTATCATTAATAATTAGCTTTTTCTAAAAGTTATTTTTATTTGTGTTTGAGCAAGTATGGTAGATATCTGGTTCTAACTTTGGCAACCGCCTGAGAGAGTAATTAGCTAATAAGCCTCTTTCTGTAATAAAATTTAATTCAATTTAATTCTGTGTCCCATAGAATATAGCAAGATGCCTGTAATACATTAGTAGGCAAGTGAAAAAGCCATAGGCCTATCATTACTTAACATGTGTTTCCTAAAATGTGATGCTTTTTTTATTCTCAGTGTTTCTCTTTTAAAGGTGATTAATATTTTGCTATATGCACTTAGTTTCTTCTTTCCTTTTGCATGAAATTTAAAACATGAAGGATACATTAGTAAGGATTGAGTTAAAATTTTTAAAACAAAAAAATGCAACCAAATTTTTGGATGTTTAACTGCAGACACAGATTTGAAATAGCAGCATTTTCAGACTAGTTTATCAACTTCCTCCTGTGCTCACTGTTCTTCCATCAACATCTCTGTCTCCATTAAGAATGGGCTGAATCATGGTATCTTCAGGCAGCTTTCTGCAGCCCCTGCAGGTCAACCCTTGACTGACCTCCATTTACTCATACTTAGATTACCGAAAGCTCTCCATTTTCCCCTGTAAAACACAAATACGGAGAATCAAATGTACTGCTGACTCATAGTTGTTAGCCAACTCTGTATACCTCCTGTTCACTGTGTTCTGTTCAGCCAACTGGTATTTAATATGTTAATGTTGGCTCATTTGTATTTGTAAGTAAAGAATAAAACACAAAGGCAAAGAAGAAGAGCTGTTACTTATATGAATATCAAGGAGGCTGCTTTGAAGTGGTTTGATAAAGACAAGATGCTAAAACAAAACTGCTGCTAAGTTATATGTGGGTGAGGCTACTGTTAAAGTTTGAGGAATACATAACTAAAAATCATGCAGCATTTTTCACTGAGATTATATGGGTCTAGAAACTGTAGAATATACATTATAATCAGAATTAATGTAAGAAAGACAATGCTAATTACTAACCAAAGACTACATAGCTATGAAAAGGCCTTTTCTCTATAGTAAAATATTAGTAAATTTATATATATATATATATATAGTATACACACATATACATATATATTTAAATATATTTAAAGATAAGTCCCTTTTAGCTACATGTATAATATTTTATAATACTCTTTAACAACTGCTTTAACAGGCTAGTTAGATTAATTGACCCCAATTGTATTAAATAAGAAGGATTTGCTATAGTGAGGATTTGGTTATCCTGAACATCATGCTAATTCTTGAGTTTGGTTTCGTGCCAGTTATTAATCTCTCCTTTTCAAATGAATCAAGTAGATTGTTCTTTATGCCTGCAACAGTCATTCTAAAATAATGCCCTTTTTAAGAGCTGAAAAAGACCATTTTGGGTTTCATTTCAAAGAAGATGCTAAATTTCATGAAGCTGCGTATTATATAGATTAAGGACATGGATTTGATGCCTCATTGGTTTTCAGTTCTGATACATCTTGATTATATTACCTTGGACAAGACACTTAATTTTTATAAGTCTCAGGTTTATTTTTATTAGGACAATGAAAATAAATAATAGGACCTAACATGATTGTTGTGAGGTTTAAACACATCAATATACATAGACTAAATAGCATGGTGGTTTACATTTACCATATGCATAGTACCTGTTATTAATAATAAGGAAAATTTTCCAAGGTCTGGCACGTAATTAGTGGTTGAGTTAAAAGCAGAATTCAGATCTCTTTAATAGGAAATATTAATAAAATAAGACATAATCTATAACATCGGCTCATAATTGATATTGAATAAGTGTAATTACTGTTAGTGTAAGCTATCTTCAATTTTTAAATTTGTTATAGAATATCATGTTACTTTAAGAAATACAGGTTGGGAAGTGGAGATAGAAGTGGGGAGAAACAGGCCAGGCATGGTGGCTCAGGCCTGTAATCCCAGCACTTTGGGAGGCCGAGGCAGGCAGATCACACGGTCATGAGATCAAGACCATTCTGGCTAACATGGTGAAACCCCGTCTCCACTAAAAAATACAAAAAATTAGCCGGGCGTGGTGGTGGGCGCCTGTAGTCCCAGCTACTCAGGAGGCTGAGGCAGGAGAATGGCGTGAACCCGGGAGATGGAGCTTGCAGTGAGCCGAGATGCGCCACTGCCCTCCAGCCTGGGCAACAGAGCGAGACTCCGTCTCAAAAAAAAAAAAAAAAGTGAGGAGAAACAAGAAATAATCACATATCTCTGGGAAGAGGGAACCAAAACTCCATGGTTTTCTAGTTTTGTACAATAATCAAGGAGACTTGCTTTATCATAGATGTTGCCAAGCTCAGTACCCTTAAAATCACCAACAATTCCTGTCCTTGAGAAGCTTACAGGTAGTAAAAAGAAAAGTAAACAAATAAACACACACACAGCCACACTCATATACACATGATGTGTATAATCGAGAATTCTAGATGGAATTATCTTTGTGTAAGAAATAGTATTTTTTGAAAGACCTTTCTGTAATGGTTTTATTTATTCTGCATAGATAGCTTTGAAACTGAGACCCAAAGGATAAGTTTCAATATGCTTTGTAACTGGTCCAGGATAGTGGTGAGTCTTGCTTTATATAAAGGGACCAAAAGAAAAAAAATTCTCACTCAGTAATCCAAACATGACAAAAAATAGGTTATGACTGTGTAGCCAAAAAATTGATGTACCAAAGATTGTTATGTGACTTATTCATAACTAAAAACCCATAGGTATATAATTTTCCCCATCTAGATCAAATATATTCTATCCTCATACAGCTACAAAATAGCTGTGACAAGAGATTTATTCCTCTTTTATGAATGATCTATGGACATTCTTGTGTAAATTTCACAGAATGTCTAGTACTGAACCAGAATAATCTGATTGATAGAGAGCTGTAGCTAATCCCTAGCATTAGGATTTTGTTTAATTAGAGTTTGTTAGAAAATTCTACTTCGGAGAAGAGTTAGTGGTATTTTCAGTATTTTGTGTCATTATAAACTAGACATGTTTATTCCAGTTAACATAAGCTGTAAAACCATCTATAATAGCAAGACTTCCCAGTCAGTAATAAAAACAGGCAAACACAGGCCATCTGTGTTTGAGGTGAATCCCTAAATATTCTAGGCCATGTTTGCTGAAGTATGTTTAGTAATTGGTCTTTAGTTAGGTTTGGGGGACTCTTAGGAACATAGGCTTTAGTGGATTTTTTGTTGTTGTTGAATTAGACTTTTTGGGAACCCTTTTCTCAGGCAAAGAGTGATGAAATTCAACCCTTGGGAAAGATCATGCTTACTTCCCTTAACTACTATTCTAAATATTCCAATTTTTTCCCATAATTCTCTCATCAGGGAATGAATTTGTTCTCAAATTTTTAAAACAGGAATCAATTGATAAATAAATAAACCTCCTCTCCACAGGCTCTAATTTGAGGCACAGAAGTTGTGTCAGAAAACTTAAAATATATAATTGTCAAAAATGCGCAGTTTCATTGGAAACATCATTGGTTTTCACAACAATGCTATCTACCATTCACAAGAATAACAGATCTTGAGCTGCGTCTGTATGTGGCTACATTATAAGAATGTCTTTTGATAAGTGTAAAAGCATAATAATCAAACATGGTTACAATTTGTGAGCGTCAGTTCTTGTGCCAGGATATATGAATATCATCATGCATAAATCTTTACAACCATTCTCAATGTTGGTATTAGTTATTTTTTTCACAAATTACAAACTGCATTTCAGAATAAAAGATGTTAAATTACAGTCCAGCTAACAGATATTTGTGGTTTTTTTATGTTTATTCATGTTTAATGTCTCTCCTTAAGGTGTTCCTTTGTGACAGAGAAGTACACATCTCACCCTGCAGAACTCAGGCACAACCACATGACTTGCTTTGGCAGGTGAAATATGAGCAGAAGTAATGTATGTCCCTTCAGAGCAGACACTTTTAAGAGCCAGCATGTGCCACCATTTTGCTCTGCCATGAGAACTGGCAATGTTCAAAATGCAGCCTGCCCAATCAGCCAGGGCTAAACAGAGGAAATGATATGGAAGAGACTTGCAGCCAACCAAATACAGATATGTAATATATTCTAGAAATAAATCTTAATTGTCAGCCACTGAAATCTGGGGGTTGTTACTGTAGCATAACGTAACCTGATTGGCACAGTACCAAAGGCAAGAAAAGCCCTCAACTGAATTTAACCTTAAGGCCCATACTTATATGCTGATTTTTCTTAAAAGAACTAAACCTCTTAGCATTACAGTTATTCATCAGTGTTACCTTTGTGACCATGTTCCCTATAACTGTACATTTAAATTCATCTATATTCACTTAGTAATCTATTTTCCACTCTTGGATCTGCACTATTTCTTGTCTCTGTGCCTTTATTTATTCTAATAAATAAATAAATGCAAACATAGAACTATATCCAGTATTTCTTCCCTTTTATACAACAATCTTTACAGTGAACAAGACCTTGCTTATAATTTCCCAGTTATAGAAATGTTTCCTGATTAAATCTATACTTTGCAATGAGTCAATACATTGAAAACAACTAAATCTATTTTTATATCTAAATTACCATGATGTCAGCAATTCATAGGGCTCTTATATCACTAATGTCTATTTTCAGTTCTTTATCCATGGGAAAAGAATATTCAATGGGACGTCATATTCAATGAGACCATGAAATAATACATACCCTTATAGATGCCCCAAAGGAAGTTAAGTTCCAAGCAATATTGTTCAACAGCATCTCCACAATTTTATTTTCAAAGTTCAGAATTTCTGACTCCCTCATGTAATGAGAGTATTGTCATTTTGTTGTTTGGCAAGGTTGGGTGGAGTTTCAGGCATAAAGCAGCTCAGAGACTTTATTCAATAAAGAATGGACAAAGTGGTCCCCACCCATTGCCTAAGTGTGCAGGTATTTCCTATGTGGGAAATATTTTCACTCAAAAAAATAAATAAATAATAAGAAGAACAGTACTAAGGATAAAAACAGCAGCAGCAAAAGATGTTGACTGTGTTTTGGGACAATCTCTCTCTCTCTCTCCATATGTGTGTGTGTGTGTGTGTGTATATACATATATACATATTATATATACATACACATATTATATATAATGTATATACATATTATATATAGTTATTTGTGTGTGTATATATGTATATACACACACACTACATATTATATATAATGTTATATGTACTATGTAACACATATATATAGTCATATGTATGACAACTATAAAATGATGCTAGGCTAATAAATAGATATATCTGGTTGTAAAGTTTCTATATTTTACTTGAAGTGATACATTATGAACTCCAAATAACTATGATGTTTAAAAAGCAAACTCTAATATATTATGCAAAAAAATACAGTTCAAAGATCGTAGATACATTAAAATGGAATGTTTTTCATTCCACCTTTCCCCAAAAAAGAACCCCAATTAATTTAAGTAAGGCAGGAAAGGAGAAAAAGAGGGAGAAAGAAGTGGGTAGAAATAGAAAACAAAAAATAGTAAAATTAAATCCAACTATATCAATAATTATCTTGGATAGTACTTTTTGCTTACAAGTCTACTTTATCTAATGTTAATACAGTCATTTCAGTCTTTTTATGCTTACTGTTTGTATAATATGCTCTTTTATCATTTTACATGCAATATAACTGTGCCTTTACATTCGATGTGCCTCTTCTACTAACATCATATAGAGATGGCTTTTATATCCACTCATAATTTTTGCCTTTTAATTGAAGATATTTGTCTATCAACTTCTGTTAACAGTTAGGGTTAACAGATAGGGTTAATGCCCAAGAAACCATATCTTCTGTCCCTAACACTAGCATACATACATATATTCTCTAGTTCAGGCCCTGAATGAACATTGTGATTGTGTATTTTCCAGCGGATAAGAAATAATCCTACCATATAAATTCATAAAGTTATGTTGATATGCAAAACTCCACAGCACTGGAACCCTTGTATTATACAAGACAAATTTCTCAAAGTTAATCAGAGGCCCTGTGCCTTCTTCAAATATCTCTCTATGATGAGCAGGTGTCCTTCCAATGATTAGAGCCTTCATCATGCCATCAGCCTAGAGATACAAAATATCCATAGGCATGTTACAATTTTTATAAAATTGCTATAACACCATTTTCTTTTTTTAAATTTTTAATTATACTTTAAGTTCTAGGGTACATGTGCACAACGTGCAGGTTTGTTACATATGTATACATGTGCCATGTTGGTGGGCTGTACCCATTAACTCGTCATTTACATTAGGTATATCTGTTAATGCTTTCCCTCCCCCCTCTCCCCACCCCACAACAGGCCCCGGTGTGTGATGTTCCCCTTCTCATTGTTCAATTTCTACCTATGAGTGAGAACATGCGGTATAACACCATTTTCTATAACAAATGTTATTTTTCATGAACAGCCTTTGCAAGGTTCGTACAAAGAACCCTTAAGCAATGAAATGGACTTCCTGAAATTGGTGCAAACTTCCATGTAGATGCATTTCTACATTCAGATTATGCATCTGAGGAATATGGTGTTTTGCAGCTAATGCTATCACTTACTATTGCAAAATTTCCATTTTGTACTTAGATTCAAATATTGCAGAAAATGATGAGAAAATCTATTTGCTCTCTTAAAAAAGTATTAAATACATGAGTAAATACATAATAATCATGGTGGTCAAATTGCATGAAATTCTACATACCTTTCTCAGCCATTTATTTTCTGAATAAAGAACAAAAAGAGGAAGGAAAACAACATGAAGGTTGAGGAAATTCAGGTGCACTGCATGCTCTATAAGGTCTAGAATTCTGCTTATTACATGGAATGCCTCAAAATACCCCAGAGACAAAGCCCTTTTTTATGGTGGTATTTTAAAATGTACTGCTGCTGAGAGTTGTCCTCCCACTATTTCAGAAAAGTGGGAGAAGGGTATGGGCCACTGACAATTTACGTAAGTATCTCAGATAATCCTAACTTGGTGCTAGGGTTTAAAACCATTGCTCTAGGGATCTTATGTAACTCAATTCAACTTTATTTGATTTTAGGTATATGAATTTAAATCACTTGGCATTCAGTCTTGAGCTGTTTCTGTAACATTACCATAATTGCTTTAAAGCCATCACAAGGAGCAGACATTCTCGAATTTTTTGGTGGGGTATAAAGTACTGTTAAATGAGTGTTACATCAGGAGTGGATAAAGGTTAAGGTAGGAAGAGCCAATGTTCCTTTGCTTCCTTGCATTCCTTCTTGAGAACTAAACTCTAGTGGTAGTTTATAGCTGTCCTCCTTTCCTCTAAAGAAATGCAAGAGGTTAATCCAGGGAGCCTTCAATACTGCTGCCCCCTGAATCTTGTCCATCTTAATAATTTAGATTCATCAATGGGAGGACCTTCAGATTAAATTTACTGCCATCTGCTTGCACTGGCCAAATTCTCCTTTCATATTTAGGTCGGTCATTTTTAAACAGTTCACAAAAAGGAAAACCTTGGATAACATATTGTTCAATTTATCATTCCCCAAAGTAAATAATTGTAAATGCTGCAAACCTCTAAATGAATGATAGCTAAATATTTGCAACCTTAATCAAAATAGTATCAGAGAACCATTAAGTTTCCAGTTTTCTTGTTTCTGTTTCTCACTGCTCAGCAACTTGGCTATAACAAATCTTTGTAATCTGCCAAGAGCCCATCACTAAACCTGCTGAAATGAAGTTTCTAATACTGCAGAATGAAGTCTGAGATAGTGTGATAAGTTTCAGCTTGGTGGAAAGAGCTGTTAAATCTAAATCCTATCTAAACTAAACCTTTTTAATTCACTCACCTAAATGTGAGACTCTTTAGTTATTGCATTTCTCTGTTCCCATTATGCAACAGTACAGTTTAGAGTTGTTAACAATTGACTTCTTTCTGGATTTATTGTGATTTATGGGACACAGAACAGAAAATGCTGACTAAAGCTTAACTGTGGTGCCAGTTGCCCATTAGACATTTTGACTTTTTAATAGCCTCAGCAGATGTACACTCCGGCTAAATGAGATCTCATAAACACCATTTTGATAAAAATGCATTCATTTTATGCATCCCTGAATAAAGCTTCCCATGGTGATCCATTACACAGCTTAAATGTTTAGCCTTTTGTGGAACATAAGAAAACATTTTGCTTTCAAAATGAGGTGCATTTATTTTGTTTATGTTGTGGGAACTGAACAGATTTCTGAATCAATTATTTACAAGCCATTTATGAGTTGGGATTTGCAAATTTCAAAGCAAAGACTTAGGAAATACAACCGTATCCATTACTACATGTTATTTTGATGTTTTCACAAGAGGACGTTATCATTCAAGGCATCTTATTTTCCTATTTGTGATATTGTTCAATACTATGGAAGAAGATGTAAACTCACTACAAAAAAAAATGGCAACTTAATTTTCTTTCAGTGAGAACACCCAAGGTTCTTTTTACGTCAACATATCATTCCGTATAATTAACAATAGTTTGACTTGTAATGTTCCATTGAGAGTGGAATATGGTGCTTGGAATGCTATCGCTCAATATTTCCTGACTTAAAAAAATATGTTTCTAATTTGGTAAAAGCCACATGGTTAAACTTTATTTAGTGATTATTTTCATTCCAAGTGTTGTAAAGTCTTTGGCAAATTTTATTTTTTTCAATTTATAAAAGTGAATCTTGAGATGATTTATTTTTGTGCTTTGTGTGGTTTGAACAAAGCTTATAAAAATAATTTATAATCACTGATAAATCTACGAATAAATCATTACAGTCAGTTGTATTCATTAAATACAATGACTTTGGACTCGGGATACTGCATTCTCTTATTAATGGAGACAGAGCCTGTTTATAGTCATAGTCACCTGTATTTACTGAAAATAATCATTAAGTTGCTTTACATGGAGCTCCATACTCCCATGGGAAAGAAGGTGCAAATTAAACACCCTAATCAGTGCGAAGGGTTGTTGAGTAGATTGCATTTTCCAGTTAATTCGCCCCTTCCTTTATACAAGCATACTTAATTTTATTGTGCATCACACTTTATTGTGCTTTGCAAATATTGCATATTTTTACAAATTGAAGGTTTGTAGTGACCCTGCATTAAGCATGTCTGTTGTCACCATTTATCCAACATCATGTGTTCACTTCATGTCTCTGTGTCAGTAGTTTTTAACAATAAATTATTTTTAATTGATATATATTTACTTTTTTGCACACTTAACAGATTTAAAGTATAGTATAAAGATAACTTTTCTATGTGCTAGGAAACCAAAAAAATGTGACTTGCTTTATTGTGATATTTGCTTTATTGCAATGGTCTGAAACCAAACTTGCAATATCTCCGAGGCCTGCTATATATGCATCTGAATCAGAAAACGTAGTGGGAGATAAAGATGCCTCCATATAGCTTACACTTTCAAAGGAGAAATGAGCAGAAAAACAGAAGTTTACTTTGAATAGATTGTATCTTTCCCCTGCTTTAAGGATTCATTCTTCCTTTATCACACATCTATTAAGTGCCTAGACCAATGTTAAGCTTTTACATTAAGACATGATAGAATAAGGTCCCAGGGGTTAAAATCTAGAAGTCATAGTCTTGTGTGATTAAAACTATGACCATGTTTTTAGTTGGCATAGATATAAATAAGTAATGCACCAAAGGGTAGACTTGGAAGTAGATACCCTAATAAGTATCTTTTTGTTTAGTAAACACAGCTTACTCAACTCCATCCCCTACCCACTCGATATTGTCATTTGAAACGGCAGCCATAGAGTTATTTGTAAGGAATACTTTTATGTGTTATATCACCCACATAGAGAACATTTTTACATTTGCATAGAAATACACTAACAGATACCACAATGCAAAGTAGTTAATTTTTACATGTATATGAAAAACATAGGAAAGAGGACCAAGATGGCTGACTCAAAGCAGCTAGTGTGGGTGGCTCTCATGGAGAGGAATGGAAGGGGTGAGTAAATACAGTAACTTCAAGGGAAACCAAATACTGCATGTTCTTATTTATAAGTGGGAGTGAAATGATTAGAACATGTGGACACATAGAGGGGAACCACAGACACTGGTGCCTACTTGACAGTGAAGGGTAGGAGGAGGGAGAGGAGCAGAAAAGATAATTATTGGTATGGGGCTTAATTCCTAGGTGATGAAATAATCTTTACAACAAAACCCTGTGACACGAGTTTACCTGTGTAACAAACCTTCACTTGTATCCCTGACCCTAAAATAAAATTAAAAAAAAATAGAAACCCTGTAAAGTAAAGCAAAAAGAGAAAAAATACTGAGAAAAATAAACCATGTCATAGAAATTTGTGGGAAAATAGTAAGCTGTCTAATGTACATATAGTTTGAGTCCCAGAAGAGCAATGGTGAGGACAGAAAAGAAATATTTTCAGACATAGTGGCTGAAAACTGTTTAAATTTGATGAAAATTATAACCTCACACATCTAAGAAGTTCCACAAACCCCAAGAAAGAAAATTAGTTCAACCATTGTGGAAGACACTGTGGCAATTCCTCAAGGATCTAGAACCAGAAATGCCATTTGACTCAGCAATCCCATTACTGGGTATATACCCAAAGGATTATAAATCATTCTACTATAAAGACACATGCACACATATGTTTATTGCAGCACTGTTCACAGTAGCAAAGACTTGGAACCAACCCAAATGCCCATCAACAATAGACTGGATAAAGAAAATGTGGCACATACACACCATAGAATACTGTGGAGCCATAAAAAATGATGAGTTCATGTCTTTTGCAGGGACATGGATGAAGCTGGAAACCATCATTCTCGGCAAACTAACACAAGAACAGAAAACCAAACATTACTTCTCACTCATAAGTGGGATTTGAACAATGTCTTCCAGAGCCCAGGTCTCTGCACATACCTCAATGGCTGCTCTGATGAGACTCCACATAGTTCTGTGTGTCAGACTGAAGGCCCTGGTGGAGTGGGTCCACGAGGGGATCTCCTGACCCAAGGGTACGAAGACCCATGGGAGAAGCGTGGGTTCCCAGGGCCACAGCATTCACTCACCACCTCCCTGGATGGGGGAGGCTCCCTTGGCTCCATGTCCTTCCAGGGTGGGCCACCATCCTGCCTTGCTTTTCTGCATTCTTCATGGGTAAAGTTGTTTCTTTTAGTAGTCCCAGTGCAAGTACCTGAACAATGAGAACACATGGACACAGGGAGGGGAACATCACACTCCGGGGCCTGTCAGGGGGTGGGGCCCTAGGGGAGCAATAGCATTAGGAGAAATACCTAATGTAGATGACGGGTTGGTGGGTGCAGCAAACCACCATAGCATGCGTATACCTATGTAACAAATCTGTACATTCTACACATGTGTCCCAGAACTTAAAGTATAATAAATAAAAAAAAAAAACTGGACACTACTTGTAAAAAAAAGAGATAGCCCATGTAAAAAATTTTTAAATTATGCTGAGACACATCATAATCAAATTCCTGAAAATCGGTGATACATAGAAACAGCTTAATAGCACCTGAAGAAAAAAAATTCTTAATAACTGAATAAACAATTTCTATAGACTTCTTTTGAGAAATGTACATGCCAGAGAATAGAGTAACATTTTTAAAGTGCCGTTACTCCAGAAAATACTATTAAAATGAGTATCTCTTTTCCATGATCAAGCTTAAGAACTAAAAAACTAGAGTTTAGATACTACTATTATAATATAACTATCATAGAATACTATCGAATGAACAAGTTTTCTTCATTCATTAGATTATCCTCTGACTTTCCTTCAATTTTCTGGAAATAATTTTTCAACCCTTATTATAAATTTCTATTACCAAGTCTAAAATTCAGTTAGATGTTTAGAAGGGCACACAGAGAACTTGAAAGTATGTGCCTGAACCCAAAAGGAGAGAATTATTGGTCATTGAAGATGGATATCTGTACTATAGACAAGTAAGCCCTGTACCACCCGAAGGCCCTTTACCTATAGTGCATGGAGCCCCAACTCTGCTTTCCCCTTACCTTCTCCAAATCTCATCCATGTTTATAGAGTTTTTATTTTATTTTATTTTATTGTCTTTTTGGTTTAACTATCTCCTAATACTATCATACATCTGACTCTGGCATGACAACTTGATCCTGATTCCTAATAACACTTTTGTTAGATAGCAGAATTTTGATATTTTTCATCTTTAGCTGATTTCTATTATCTAATAAAAAATGAGGTAAAAATACTGAAAACTGTTGATGGTGGTGGTGATGATGATAGAAGAGATAGATACTGTATGATCCAGAGACTAAAATTGTTTATATATAATATTTCATTTTCACAATAACTCTATAAGGCTGTTATTGTTAGCATGATTTTTTCAGATGATATAACATTATAGATAGTGTATAAATTGCCCAAAGTTACATAAATTAAGAAATTTTGAACTAAGATTTGATCCCAGGTCTGGCTCATATTCGCTGTATTCCTATCTTCTATAAAATCGTCTTCCCTAAGTAGAATTTATTGACTGCCAACTGTGTTTCAGGCATGCGTATTATTTTTATGTGTTATGTTTGTATATAAAGAGACTATCATGAATACACCAGTGGTTAGGTAGATCATTCTCAATTTTTTTCTGTTTTCAAATTTCTTGTACTTCTTTGTGACCACATTCTCTATATGCATCACTGGTCATTTGTGACACAGAGTCAAAGGCAGGAATTTTCTAGATATTGCTAGAACAACACTGCAAAGGCATCCAGTGTCATCCGACTCTTTTAAGTTGAGTTACTGAATACCCCCTTGCTGGTTTATATTTCACCAATGTTGATAATTTAGAAGTTGAGGCCAGTAGTGCATAATAAATTTTAATCAGCCAAAAAAATACAACAGAAGATTTGGTTGCAGGGTTTTACACTAACACACACACAGTTTTGTATGTGTACATGCATATACATATGAATATATGCAGGTATATGTATATATATGCATACGTATACACACACAGTCTTCATCCAAGTATTACATGAACCCATAAATGTTAAAGTGGTACTGATTGTTTTGATTTTCTTTCACTTAAAATATTTTTGCTTGTCTGACAAGTACTATATATGAGTGGTTTTTGACAGATTATTCATCATGAGGATTAGTAGAGCATATAAATCATAAATCAGTGAAAATGCAGAAACCCTACTAGAAGAAGCACATCTGAGAATTGATTGAAACATATCAAAAGAAAACATTAATCAACATCTGATTCAAATAAAAAGATATAGTTCAAGGAAAAAGGATTGTCAAAATTTTGGTAGGCAGAAAATAGGAAAAAAAAGTACAAGGAATCCTCTTTCTCTTTCTCTCTCCTGCTCTCTCTCTCTCTCTATCTCCATATATATATGACTTTCTCTGAGAATAAAGAGGGAAAATTTGGGCTAAGGTTACAGACTGCATTCTAACCACCTCTTCTGTTTCCTGTAACTATTTTCTTCTATAAATAAAAAGTTCACCCCCCGATCCTATTTGGGAAAAGGAAAAGAGAATAGCCCAGTGTATTTACTCCAGGCTACTGGGCGGTAGACTTGAAGCAAATGTGTTGAACTGCTATCCTTTCCTTGGTAATTCAGCCCTAGTAGACCTGGTGTCACTGGTTCTTCGATTTTATTTTGTCTCTTGCTCTCTAATTTTGTCTCTTTTTGTGTTTGTGTCCACAATTTGGCAGTGATCCTTTATCAGTCATTGCTGTAGTAAAGAAACTCTCAAGACAAGCTACCTTAACAACCATTCACATACAGATTCCTAAGTTTCTACATGTGCACATTCACAAACTGAAGAATAAGACAGAGAGAGAGAGAGAGGAGAGAAGAAATAGAGTGACAGAGAGAGAGAGAAAGAGAGAGAGCAACTGAGAGAATTCACCCAAATCATGATCAATGTGTATTATTGTTATATTACTATATCTACTATGTATCTGATATGTCCCTTTCAAATTCACTTAAGATCTAAATTCCTGGATGAGAGATTATATTGTTTGCTGGTGAAACCCTAAGTAGCAAATGCTATTTCAATGGAAATTCCTATTTAATAAAACTAGTTATAAATCCCATTAGGAGGTGAGCTTATTTCAATAAATATTTGCTGTAGCACTGGCTAAGTACAATGAGATGATTTAACCATGTTCTTGAATATACAGTCATATGTAGCCTAGCAACAGAGGCACATTCTGAGAAATGCATCATTAGGTGACTTCATCATTGTGCAACCATCATAGGGTGCACTTAGACAAACCTAGACGGTACAGCCTACTATCCACCTAGGCTATACGTTATAGCCTGTTGCTCCTAGGTTACAAACAGGTACAGCATGTTTCTCTACTGACTATTGTAGGCAATTTTAATGCAATGTTAAGTATTTGTGTATCTAAACACATCTAAATATAGAAAAGGTACAGTATAAAAGATAAAAAATGGTACATGGTTTAGGGCAATTACCATGAATGGAGCTTGCAGTACTGAAGGTGGCGCTCTGAGTGAGTCTGTGAGTGAGTGGAGTAAATGTGAAGGCCTAGGACATTAGAGTACACCACTGTAGTAGACTTTATAAACATTGTACACCTAGGCTACACTCAATTTATTAAACAAATTTTTTTCTTCAATAATAAATTAAACTTAGCTTACTGTGGTATTGTAATTTTACTTTATACACTTTTTTAAATTTTTTGACTCTTGGAATAACACCTAGTTTAAAATACAAATACATTGTACTGTTGTATAAACATTTTATTTCTTTATGTAATTATTCTATAAGTGTTTCTCTATTTTTAAAATGTGTGTGTTTTTTTTAACTTTCAAACTTTTTTAAAAAAATTAAGACTCAAACACACAGATTAGCCTAGTCCTATACAAGATCAGGGTCACTCAAATCATTGTCTTTCACCTCTCCATCTTGTCCTACTGGAAGGTCTTCAGGGGTAATAGCAGGCACAAAGCTGTTAACTCCTATGATGACAATGCCTTCTTCTGGAATCGCCCCTGCCTGAAGCTATTTTATAGTTAACTTTGTAAAAATATATATATTTAAGTGGAAGGAGTACACTTTTAAATAATGATAAAAAGTATAGTAAATATTTAAACCAGTAACAGAGTTGTTTATTATCAAGTATTATGTACTATACATAATTACATGTGCTATACTTGTATACTACTGAAAGGACAGTAGCATTGTTTATGCCAGCATAACCACAAGCACTTGAATAATGTATCATGGTAGGGTAGCATGACAGCCACAAAATCTCTAGGTGATAAAAATTTTTCAGCTCTATTATAATCTTAAAGGACCACTGTCTTTATGTGGTTGGTCGTTGACTAAAATGTTACAGGATGCATTACTGTATGATGTTTACTTCTCTGCTTGGAAAACCCAGATTATTTTCAACATACAACATCAGTTTAAAACTGGAATAAATATATCTTTCAGTTAGTATGTTGGTGTAATATAATGTTCTTGTTGTTGCAGATGAGATTTTCTCTTGATTTTAAAGTTATTTTTCAAATGACTGTATATTGGTGAGGTTAAGAACATGGGCTTTGGGGTCAGAGTGATCTGAGGTTATAATTTGCCGTGTAATCTTTAGCAAAATTTTCCTTCTTTCTCTTTTTCTCTTTCTTTCTTTCTCTCTTTCTTTCTTTCTTTCATTCTTTCTTTCCTTCCTTCCTTCCTTCTTTCCTTCTTTCTTTCTGCTCCTCTCCTCTCCTTTCTCTTTCTTTCTCTTTCTTTCCTTTCTTTCTTTCTTTCTTTCTTTCTTTCTTTCTTTCTTTCTTTCTTTCTTTCTTTCTTTCTTTCTTTCTTTCTTTCTTTCTTTCTTTCTTTCTTCTCCCTCTCCCTCTCTCTCTCTCTCTCCCCCCCTCCCTCCTTCCTTCCTTCCTTCTTTCTTTCATCTTATTTGCCATGTAATCTTTAGCAAATTTCTCTTTCTTTCTTTCCTTCTTTTATTCTTTTTCTTTTCTGTCTGTCTTCTGACGGAATCTCACTCTGTCGCCCAGGTTGGAGTGCAGTGGTATGATCTCGGCTCGCTGCAGCCTCCACCTCATGGGTTCAAGCAATTCTCATGCCTCAGCCTCCTGAGTAGCTGGGATTACAGGCATGTGCCACCACGCCCGGCTAATTTTTGTATTTTTAGTAGAGGTGAGACTTTACCATGTTGGTCAGGCTGGTTTTGAACTCTTGACTTCAAGTGATATGCCTGTCTTGGCCTCCCAAAGTGTTGGGATTAGTCGTGAGCCACAGTGCCCAACTGCAAATTTCTTAATCTTACCACACTTCACATTCTTCATGTGTAAAATAATGATAACAAATGTACATAGCATATTGGGTTAAACGATTACTATTACTTAAGTTAGCATCATTTGACTGAGCAATCACCATAGGTCACTCATTTTACTCTCGCAAAAGTTTTACTAATTAAGTAATGTTTTTATCACCTCTATAAGGCAAATTAACAATTGAAGCTTGAAAGATTCTATAATATTTTGGAAGTCACAAAGCTGCTAAGTGTAGACTTGAGATTTAAATCCAGGGAGTCTCACCCTGGAGATGGTTTTCTCCTACCCACTGTGATAAACTCCATCATGAAATCATGCAAGTATGAACAGTGCTGGGCAGTTGGGTACTTACTTCTCAGCTATAATATTTTGAAGCCACTTGTCCATGATTTTTAAGTATCTAATATTACTAACAGAAAGTTCTCTTTCAATCTTATGTTTATTCATTCAATAAATATGTACTGAATACTTACTGTGTGCCAAACATTCTTCTTGGTTCAGGTTACAACAGCAAATAGAGCAGAGCTAATTCCTTACCCTATGGTGCTTACACTCTAGTGTATGGGGGGAGATAAAAAATAAGATAAATAAGTATAATATATAGTATATTAGATTATGGTAAATTATAAGAAAAATAGTACAGAAAGATAAGGGAATGGCAGGTGTCAAGGAGTGCAGTTTTAAATAAGCTATGAAATGATTTTAGTCATTGGCATAAACCTTGATGAGCCTCAGTTTCTTCATTCAGAATATAGGAATAGTGATATTTATCTTGACAATCTTAAGAAATTATTTGAGAATCAAATAGAGATGAGCACGCTGTGTGAATTATAAAATTTTTTAAATGTGACATATCAAATATTGAATAAGTGTTGCATCTGGTATTTAATTTGGAGCAAAACATTCAGAAAAAAAGAACAGTAGGAAAGCCAGAAACTACAGAAAAAGCTAGATGCGATGAACATAGAGAAAAGTTAGGTAAGAGTGATGTTTTGAGTTAGAAGGTAATATCCTGCATGGCATGTATGTATGTTCAGAAACATTTTGTGACTTAACTAGTCATACAATATAATATATACCCATGGGTGATGGCATTACTGTACCAAGTCAAACTTCTGGGTTTTATGACTTTCTGTATTTTATGTTTGCAGTCTTATTAAAGTAACTTAGAAAGTGTTTCCCTAGGGATCAAACCTCTCTCAACTCACATCATGACTTCTGCAGATAATTTCTTTTAGAGGTAGTAGGTTTCTTTTTCTCTAAAATTATATGTTGAAAGAGAATAAGACTGAATATTCCCATGGGCAATGTGCAATAAAAATTTAATCACCCAGAGGAACTTGTGACTCTAACAACTGACACTCCTGTGTCCATATTGCCATTCTTTACTACCACTGAGTTTCAGCCTCTATTAGAATTGGTATCATAGACAGCAGTGAGGAATGGGCTCTGAGTAGGGAACTGTTCCGGTGGGTGGTGGTTGGCTCAGGCAGTACCTGAATGTTAAGGGGGAGCTCAAGTATGTGTGGGCATGTGGACAGAGAGCTTTAGATAAGATTAAGGAAGTATGGTATAAATATAGAGCACACGAACCCAGAGAAGTAAGGCAGAAATCAAAGCATCTAGAAATTCATAGAATCAGAAATATTAGGACATAACAAGAAGATTTGGAATCCAAATTAGCAGCAAGAGGACAATGACTGGCCACTTAAATCACAACAATCAGAGGTCAGCATGTGAAAAAGATATGTTCATCAAGGCAATGATGCCCAAACCCACAAGTTGCTTATGGGTTGCCTGAATAGAAGTTGCTTATATGCTTTCCACTTGGGAGAGAACAAAGTTCAGCATAGCTCCAGCTTACAGGGCAGCAAATCACCTGCTGAAAGCTGACATAGAGCTGTCATAGCACCATGTCTTCTCATGATTAATAAACCCTGGCACACCTGCTCATCAGAGCTTCAGCAATCACTGTTGGATGAAATCAGAAGTTGGAGAATAAAGAGTCTTGTGATGATCTCCCTTCTCCAACTGTGAAAAAAAAATGTGCTTTGACTTTTTTATGTGTTCTCTGTATTTTCCTGCTCTAGCCATTCAACAGTATTGGGACCGAAGCCAGATAACAAATGCTCACTTCTACATAGGTGGGTTAAACTGAGAAAGGAAGAGAATATGATCCTTTCAAAGAAGAGACTGAAAGAGATATCTTGATAAGAGTTTAATGCTACGTGTCTAATCTAGACTTCAAATCTGCTCTTCAGACTATTAATGTCAACCATATAGCAGTGGAGTGCTTCCTGTATCAAATATCTCACTCTTTTCCCTCTTGTTTCTTCCCCTTTCACTTCATCCACATACCTTTTCTTAATTATTAGAACTACCAACCATTGAGTTTGAGGGAAACTTGGGCACTATCTTAAATTAATTTTTCAGCCTCACACAACTAATCAAGTAATAAGTTTTGTCAATTCTATCTTTTAATGAACTGTCTGTCTTTGTCTGTCTACATCTGTTGATTCCCAGGACCAGAACTCTAGTTCAAGATTTTATTTTTTTACCTTTTCCTTGGAAGACTACGCTTGACTCATAAGAGGTCTTCTTTCTAGTATCTTTTGTCTCCTAATCCTTTTCCTTTAGTGACATTCTTGAATAGAAAATCAACTATGCAGTCTCCTACTACATCTGTTCAGTACTTCAACACCATATGATACCGACAGGTTGAAATGCAAATGCATTAATATGATTCCAACCAACTACCTATAACTTTCTAGTTGCATTGTGCTTTACTCTACACAACTTCTGCAGATCCCCTACTTATCATTCAAGATTCTTAAGTGTAACTTAATCCCAACAAAGTTTTTAAAATTTATTTATTTTTCTTCAGAGTCTATTCAGAAGTAACTGAAATCAAAATGATATCAGGAAGTTGACATCATGCATCATAGGTTTCATTCATATTAGTACCAGGGAATGCAAGTACACACATAGAAACATGATTTTATAAACTTGCTATAAACTTGCTGTAGCTGTATTGTGTGATGTCTTATGCTTATGAAAATACTGAGAAAATACAGTTTTGAGCCAAATGCAGTGTGGTTATGTATTTAAAATAACATAATCATTATGAAACAACAAATTCATAATACTGAAATACACATGCTACTTCCAACTAATGCTCTTGTTTTTATGACCAGATCTGGTCACACAGTTATATATGAAAAATGTGTATTATTTAGAAGACAGTTAGTGTCTTCCACTGTTGTATATGTTCAGGACAGATAGTATCAATTTTTACAATCTATCAAATCAACAAAGAATACTGATAAAATAGATCAATTGATTATTTTAGTAATAAAACTGAATATGCATAACATGTTGCATATTTGGTCTACTCTTATTTTCTTAATACCCATTTGTGTTAAAATATGTATGTATTATATATTTATGTATATATGCATGTATGTATATTAATATATGCCTATATATGTAGTATGTGTGTGTGTGTGTATATATATATATATGTATTTCAACTTATATATTTTAATTCATGGTAGTTTGAGGCAAATAATATTAAATTCAGAAAATACTGCAGTCCAGAAAATTATGCTGACAACTTGCTTCAACTTTTTCTGCTGACGTCTATCATTGACTTGACATGCATCTGAAATTTGTACATAATCTCTATTTAATACCCTAATTGAAGCTGTCTCAGTCTTTAATATGGAAGTCCAGCACAGAGAAAATATAACAATATTTATATTAATGACTCATTTTTAGGTTCTTCAAGTCTTTATGAACTGGAGTCAACATTTCTATTTCTATGTTATAAGTAGCACATATATTTTACAACTATGAAGCAGAGTAAAATTTTAAGGCCTAAAGGAATAAAAAAAGAATTATGTAACTACTAGTAAAATGATGATGCTAATATGACAACTCTTATAAGCAGGAATGAAGTTAAAATATTAAGTTTTCCAGAAATCAAAAAACTTTTGGTTCCCAATATGAATACTTGGATAGTAAGTTGTCTTAAGGAATTGCCCAGGACACCAGTTCCCAGTATTGTTTTCTTACATGAATCTACAGATTCAAATGGTTTATTTAACATGTATACAGTTGATTGTCATTATTCATGGATACTGTATTGTGAATTTGCCCATTTGCTAAAATTTATCTGTAACCTCAAAAATCTATCTTCACAGTGCTTTTGTAGTCATTTTCACAGAGCAGCAAAAATCTCAGTCACCAGACAAGCACATTCTCAGCTGAGGTCAAACACAGCAAGTCCCGGGTTCTTATTTCAGCTCTCCTGATGCAAACAAGTGTTCCTTTCCCTATCTGTATAGTCCCACATTTTTGAGTGCTTGTTGATGATTGCCCTGTTTAAAATGTCCCCTAAGCATCATGCTGAAGCGTTGTCCACTGTTCCTAAGCACAGGAATACTGTGATGTGCCTTGCAGAGAAAATATATGTGTTGGGTAAGTTTCATTCAGGTATGCAATATAATGTTGTTGGCCATCAGTTCAATATTAATGAATCAATGATATATATTGAATAAGCTATTTTTATACCTAGGAATACAGCTAACTAGGGAGGTGAAAGATGTCTACAAAGAGAACTACAAACTAGTGACCAAAGAAATCAAAGATGACCTAAACAAATGGAAAAACACTCCATGCTCATGGATAGGAAGCATTAATATCATTAGAATGTTCATAGTGCCCAAAGCAATTTATATATTCAATGCTATTCCTATTAAACTACCATTGAGATTCCTCACAGATATATAAAATGTATTTTAAAAATTAATATGGAGCCAAAAAAAGAGCCCGAATAGCCAAGGCAATCCAAAGCAAAAGAATAAAAATAAAAACAAAAAATATCTTATACACTGTTGGTGGGAGTGTAAATTAGTTCAACCTATGTAACAAACTTCACATCTACGTCTGAACATAAGTAAAAGGTTAAAATATCTATTTTTAGATAGAAACACACATGAAACAAGGGGAGTTGATGAAAATGTTGTTCCTAGAGGCTTGTAGGAATATAACCCTATGTTTTACCTAAGTGAAATGATTTAGTATTTGCTAATTCAGGGTCTGTAGCAACTTTATATGTGATAACTACTGCAAATAAATAAAATTGACTGTATTTTCATTTCAGCTGTCTCTGTCAGTTTTCTTCTTAATCTCACCAAGAGAAGTTAGAGCTATTTTGCTTATAGGTATCTCAACTGGCATAAAATAATAACAAGAGCAATAATAATGACTGCATATTATGATAATGCCAAGCATGGCATAAAAAGCTTCATATCTCATATCTCTAAATCTTTGTTATACATTTTCATGGTACTCTATAATTTTCTTTGCAGGCCTATCTTACAATTATTAATCATTGATGTGATTATTTTAAAATATACGTTTCGATAGACAGGAAGTTTTATGAGAGCAAAAAGCATGTATTTTTCCTTGTTAAATATTTACAATTAAGTTTATACAATAGGTAATGATAAATAGCAAATGATACAAAAATACTTGTAATAACATTTGCAAGGTGGGAATTAAATATTACAAACATTAGCAAAGTAGGAACTAATATGATGGAACATCTATACCTTTAAAATATTTACTTACTGACGATCAAATTAGCTTTTAATATTGGTAAACCTATAAACCAGTTTTATTCAGGAGGGTGATTTTTAAAATATATTTTATTCTAAAAATCAAATTTGCATATTTCTATGCACATTAAGGCAAATTAAAAATATCTGTATTAACTAGCTAAATGCCAAAAATAAAATAAACAACAAGATTATTCTTGGTCCATATTTATTTTTAGCTGAATATGTCACTAATGTAATACCTTGGTTTTTTCTAAAAATATTTTTTATAATTATTCTATGTTTTCCTTAAAATTCCCTGAAATAGTCTTTTTCTGGAGTACATCTTTGACTTTTTTCTGCAAACTGTAATATTTTCTAATTGAGAGAATAATCCCCTTATATGCTATACAGAGCAAATTGAATTCTCACTCTAGTTTTTATATAGTTTTGAATATATTTCTATGTGAATTGTGTGAATATTTTAGCATGATTTATTTCATGGATACTGTTAATTATATATATAAATTATATATATATAATTTTTTTTAAATTTCACTAAGAGAAGTTAGAACTATTTCGCTTATAGGTATCTCATATATCTTATAGGTATATATGTTATATATATATAAAATCTGTCTTAAAGTATTGAACAATAGAAATTATTAGAAGAGTGATTCCTGAAAGAAAAACAAATAAATTGTGTCTTACTATGAAGTGAGCTCTGCTTCTGGAGTGGTGATGTGAAGGTGTTGGACCCACTTCCCAACAGCATTTCTTTGGAGAAAATTACAAAATGAAAACACAATCATTTAAAGTTTTTTATATTGTCCTAAGAGTATATAGTAAGTGGAGAATCTTCACTCAGCAAAATCTAAATCTCAGAATAGTTGAGGTCTGTGGCTTTTAAGCCACAACTTCCTACTTCTTCTCTCATCTCCTTTATAAAGAAGCTACCCTGGGTGGATGGGTCAAGAAAGCAGGGGCTCATTTTCCCCTCAACTTCTAGTCTGGGGTGATAATTTCAACCTGGGAAGGGGAGAGGGCCAGCATTTCTTATCTCCCCCAGCCCTGTGTTGTAGAAGTTCTATTACGGGAATGTAACAGAAAGGATGGGTCTTCCTTCCTGCTTCCAGTGTCTATTCATAGGATAGATGCTCCACACAAACCACAGCAGATAGAGAATACTCGTTTTTGTCTCTACCATAGCTCAGTCACCTCGTGTAGGAAGTCCTATATTGGCAGGAGTAAGCTGAGAGGACCGGAGGCTATCATCTTCTTCCCTGTTT
The DNA here is from genome assembly GCF_000001405.40 of Homo sapiens. Classification (NCBI taxonomy): domain Eukaryota; kingdom Metazoa; phylum Chordata; class Mammalia; order Primates; family Hominidae; genus Homo; species Homo sapiens. The sequence goes on from NC_000011.10 coordinate 104,557,162, forward strand.
CAGCTCAGTCCCCAGTGCCTGCTTACAACAAGGGTGTCACTAGGAGAGAGGTGAGCCACTATCCCCACCATCAGCTCTTATGCAGGGGCATAGAGAACCTGCCAAGGAGCAAAGGCAGGCCCACACATGCTGAAGGAACTTGAAAAATCAGAAGAAGCTGGTCTTACATGAAATAGAGAATGAAGAAGTCTATACCTAGGGGTGTTCTAAAAGTCAATGCAGATATAGGTGGGGAGCAATTAAAATGGCGCTCATAGCTCCATTATATCAGTGGCAACAAGAAAAGTGACAAGGAAGCTAGAAGTTTTACAGACAGAATCAGGGAAAGAGACAGCCAAGAGAGGCCCTCCTGAAGTCACAGGCCACCTTGGGGTTGGGAAAATGAGACTGTGCACAAATGCCAGGCTACTTCCACTCAGGAGCAATCAGAGCTGAACCCGAGGTTGGGGGAGGGAGGGATGGAACTGAAAACATTTCTGCAGCTAGACGTAATTCATCAGCAAAGAGAGGAAGCCTTTATTGAAATAAAGGTCTTAAGCACGATCTCCAACCATTTACTGAACAACGACTACAATAAGTAAACTCAGGAATTACTCCTAGGAAGCCAGTCTTAATAATATATGCATCTCACATTCTGAAAGACTGTGAGCATGTCAAAGGCTGCGCCCTCTCAGAAATAATCAGAAAGAGAAAATCTCAGCTAGCAGTGCTTGCCTGTATGTGGGGAAAAATGTAAATTTCTTAAATAGGGATATAAACTCCATGCTTCACACACATCTAACACTAAAGAATAAACACCTAACTAATCAATAGGGTTAAGCAAAAGTTTTGATCAATAAGTGGCATATGCCAGCTAAGAACCAACCTCTAGTTAATCAGGCAAAAAGATAAAACACACACAACACAAAATCTGTAAAGGGATATCAGAGGCTGAATACTGTGGGAAAAATAGACTTCACAAAGTTAGTTTAGTCAAGACTTTAAACAAACTAAAAACAAACAAAAAAACACATCAATCACCGGGGTAGAGGGACTCTGTCTCTAAAGTTGTTACAATACGTTTATTTAAAAATGTCTAGTTTAAACAAAAAGTGTATGTGACATTCAAAGAAAAAGGAAAGTGTGACACATACACAAGATAAAAGAAGGAGAGGGGCAAAAGAAATTGCTTTTGAAGGGGTCCACATGTTGAACATAGCAAAAGAGGCTTAAAATATACATTATAAATATGTTCAGATAACTAAAGGCAGCTATGTCAAAAGAAGATGTATTGACAATATCTCAAAAACGGAAAAATACCTATAAGAAAATAGAAATTGGAAAATAAGAACCAAATGGAAATTCTGGAGTTGAAAAGTGTAATAACTTAAATGAAGACTTTACAAGAGAGGCTTAACAGTAAATTTAAGCAGGCAGAAGAATCAGTAAACTTGAAGTTAGATTGATAAATATTACATAATCTAAAAAAATAATGAACAGACTATCAGAGAAATGTGGGACACAAGTGTACCAAGATATATGTCATTGGAGTTATAAAAGTAGAGAAAAGCATTTTGAAGTAATTATGGTTTAAAACTTCTCAAATTTAATAAAAAGCACCAATATATATATTCAAGAAGTTAATGAAGTCTAAGTGAAATAAACCTAGAGATCCACACTCTGACATAGAGTGAAATGTTGAGGCTGGGCACAGTGTCTCATGCCTGTAATCCCAACACTTTGTGGGGCCAGGATTGGTGTACTGCTTGAGCTCAGGAGTTTGAGACCAGCCTGGGCATCATGATAAAACTCTGTCTCTATTAAAAATAACAATAATAATAATGAAATACTTAAAACCCAAGAAAAAAATCTTGAAAGCAGAATAAAAAAGATTTATCATATATGAAGGAATGCCAATAATATTAACAGCTAACTTCTAATTAGAATCGATAGAGGACAGGAGGCATGAGGATGTCATATTCAAAGTGTTGAAAATGGCTACTCAGGAGGCTGAGTTGGGAAGATCACTTGAGCCCAGAATGTCTTAGAAATTTCAGTTCCCACATTTTCATAGGTTTTACCTTTATAATTGCACAACGTTATCATGATAAAAGTCTATTAATAGAGATCTAGTCCTGACTCTGGTGAGAGTGTGGTAAGGAGTAATCATTGTGGAATACATTAAGAGCATTCTTCATTTTTTAAAAAAATGATGTACTGTCTAAGGAAAATAAAGATTATATCCCAGAGACTGAGGCCCACTAAAAGACAGAGGTTTAACTTAATCATCAGATTACATGAGGCTTCTCTTGCCCTACAACCTACTGCCACAGCAACAGGGATTCAGTGTAATAACAGTGGGATACAGCTGAATAAGAAGTTCAAAGTCAGGAGGAGAGGCAAAACAAGGACACTAGGAGAACTTCATGACTTCAGCACTTACTACTGGAGAAAACACTAAACGAAGTTCAACATCTAACTGATGAACATAAATCTTTCACACTCAAGGTCTATTTACTTCAGTTCCTATGACTTGATACAAACGTCCAGTTTTCAACCAAAAAAAAATTAAAGGGACTATCATAAGGCTAGAAAATGCACGCACAAATACAAGCATCAGAAGTATACTCAGATATAAATCAAATGTTGGCATTATTAGACATGGAATTCAAAATATATATGAATAATGTGTTAGGACTTTAATGGAAAAAGTAGGCAATATGCAAGAACGAATGGGTAATGTAAGCAGAGGAATGGAACTTCTAAGAAATAATCAAAAGGAAATTCCAAAAATCGAAAATGTAGTGATGGAAATAAAGAGTGCCATTTGGAGGGGGGCTATCATAATACTGGACAAACAAAAAAGAGGGAGGAATGTCATCATCTTGGTAAAGAACCTACAGCTAACAGAAAATCTACACTTTAGCATCATCATCATACTTCGTGGTGAGAAACAAAAAAAAATGAACAATTAACATCATAGTTAGTGGTGAGAAATTGGATATTTCTTGACAAGTATCAGGAAAAGGCAAAGATGTCTATCTTACCACTCCTACTTAATATCACATTGGAAGTTCTATCTGTTGCAACAAGACAAGAAAATAAAATACATACATACTGGAAAGGAAGAAATAATATTGTCTTTTTATTTAAAATGATATTATGAGAAAATTCTCAAAGAATCAACAGAAATACTCAGAAGTAATGATCAAATTTAACAAGGTTACAGGGCACAAAGTAAATACACGAAAGTCAAATGCTTTCCTGTATACCAGTAAGGAACATTCAGAATTTGAAATAAAAAAGTAAGCCTTTTAAATAACTTTTACAATAATACCAAAAAAGAAAAATAAATACTTAGGTGTAAACATCATGAAAATGTGTGGGTGTCATATGGAGAAAACTACAAAACCCTGATAAATCAAAAAAGATAAAAGAACATGAAGATATATTTCATCTTCATAGATTAGAATGTTCAGTATTGCTAAGATGTCACTTTCTTTCAACTTTGTCTATAGATTCAACACAATCCCAATCAATATCTCAGCCAGGTATAGTGGAGATATTGACAAATGTATTTCAAAGTTTATATGGAAAGGCAAAAGATCTAGAATTGCCAATACAATACTGAAGAAAAATAGTGTCCTGAAGAAAAACAAAAAGTTGAAGGATGTTACATAAAAACTAAAAATAAATAAATAAAGAAGGAATAAACCATGGACTTTTGCTAGTAACTATATATCAATATTAATCCATTAATTGTAACAATTATACTATAGTAATGTAAGATACTAATCATAGGAGAAATTGGGGGTGAGGTTCACAGAAACTTTTTGCAGTTTCTTTGCAAGTTTTTAGAAAATCTAAAACTGTGCTAAAATAGTCTATTAATTATATTAAAATGAAGAAGAAATAAATACTTTTTTCAGGCAAAATAAAAAAACTTGAAAGAATTAATTATTGGCAGACTTGCATAAAGGAAATGTTAGAAGAAGTTCTTCAGTTAAGAGAAGCATGAGATGTTAATTTTTAGACAAATTATGCAAGAAAGAGGATAATAATGTTAGCCAGTTGTGTTTTTATTATGTAAGTTATAGTTCATAGTAGTTAAAATTAGCTGCATTAGGCATTTTCTGCGTTTAAGAATCAAAGTTTATATGGTAGTAATTTTAAAACGTCTTTGACATAGGTTCCAAATCCCCTGCATTAATCCTCATGTTTTTCAAATTAATGACTTCTGCAAGTTTTGCAAACTCATTGGGGATAATTGAATCCTATTTGCATAGATATCAAAGCAGGTTGTCCTTGACTTGTTTTTGACAAGCTACTGACACTGATCGACAGAAAGAAGATAGTTAAACAGAAAATAAAATGCCTCTTTTCTTAGAAGGCACAATGCTTGCTATGCAAAATATATTATTATTCTTACTTAATTTGGGGAATAATAATTAACATTTTAAAAATTGGCAGTTAGTTTTAAGTTGAGGAAAAATTTAAATGCTCTAGAGTATATTAGTGTCAGACACTGTGAATCTAAGTGAAAATATTTTACTTGCACATTTATATTCATTAGTGTCTTGGGGGAAAAGAGGAAAAAGTCTCTTTTGTCAAAGAAAGGAATTTTTACCACCCTTTATAATAGTGCTGAGGAAAAATACTGACAGAAGACTTTTGTTATAACTTGTTTATTAAATCTACCTCTATGTAGACAAAGTGAAGTGGAAATTTTTCTTTAGAGAATACATTTGCTTGAATTAGTCATAATATTTTAGAAATTGTGTATTTTGTTGGGCAAACATACCACTTCATATCCCTAAAGAATAAATGTTTTCAAGGAATAGTACTGTTCTTTTGTCTAGAGCTAAATACAAAATAAAAACTATTAAAAAAACCAAACAAACACTTTCAACAAAACAGTGAAATTAGGGAGAGGAATACAAGGACTGACAGGGCTATCATACTATCCTTTCTCTCATCTTGCTCAGAATATTCTATAAGAAATACATCTTTAATATATTTACTTGGTCCTCACAGGGTGTGAGCGAGATTACAGGAGATGATATTATAATATATATATAAATGTCGTTTGTTTGATGACTCTTAATCATCCCTCAAGATCCAATATCACCTCCTCCATGTGGTCTCCTTTCTTTGGATGTCCCCAGCATTCCACTTGTTCCAACAACACAGCAAGAGACATATTGTATTCATTTGCCCATCCAAGTCCTCTGTACCCAATAGGTGCTCAGTAAATTTTGAATGTGAAAATCTCTCAGTGTAAGAGTAATGAGATTAGGGACTGTGTTTTATTAACTTTACACTTACTTAAATAAACTTTATTTATTACTGCTGTATCTCCAGCTCTTAGTATTTTCCTACACTTAATAGATGTTAAAAGATGCCTATTAAGTGGAAGAACCAGTGAAAAATTATAAAGGCTAAAATGTGCAGTGCATAATTATTATTACTAACTCAAATCCAAGCTTGCTGTGCTCCAAAGATCTTACCAGCTAACCTGTATTATTACCTATTATGTGTCTCATGCCTATCTCTGGTTCATTAACTCCAATCTTAAATTTTTATCACATACTTCCTAAATACCTTCTGGGTATTCTCCCAGCTTTACAGAGTAAAGACATATAAATTTCTATCTACATGTCTTCATTTTTGTTTTTGATAAGGAGACCTCAATTTATTTAATTATTCATCATTCCATGAGTTTTTTGGCTTCGTCCATTTTTTTTATGCCAACACTTTCTACTTACAGTCAAATCAGCTGAGGATATTTCCACATTCTCATTTCTGACCTTTTTCCATTCCTTCTGGAAATGTGTAGTTAAGGCCTCAAAATCTTTTATCCTGAACTTCTGTTAGTTTTTCTACTTGCTTTAATTTTCTTGGACTACTACGTGAATCTTGTACCTGTTCTCTCTGCTTCCAGTTCCTCAACTACCCTTCCCAATTCAATCTGTTCTTTTAAAATACAAGCACACGTCATTTTTATTGTGCTTTGCTTTACTGTGCTTCACAAATACTTTGTTATTTACAAATCTAAGATTTATGGTAATGCTACATCAAACAACACTATTGGTGCCATTTTTCCAATGCTTCATGTGTCTGTGTTACATTTTGGTAATTTTCATAATATTTCAAACTTTTAAATTATTATTATATCTGTTATGATGAACTGCAATCAGTGATAACTGGTGTTACTGTGTCTGGAATTGGTGGGTTCTTCATCTCACTGATTTCAAGAACGAAGCTGCGGACCCTCGCGGTGAGTGTTACAGTTCTTAAAGGTGGCGTGTCTGGAGTTTGTTCCTTCTGATGTTCAGATGTGTTCAGAGTTTCTTCCTTCTGGTGGGTTCGTGGTCTTGCTGGCTTCAGGAGTGAAGCTGCAGACCTTCGCAGTGAGCGTTACAGCTCTTAAGATGGCGCGTCTGGAGTTGTTCGTTCCTCCCGTCCGGAGTTGTTCATCCCTCCCGGTGCGTTCGTGGTCTCGCTGGCTTCAGGAGTGAAGCTGCAGACCTTCGCGGTGAGTGTTACAGCTCCTAAAGGTGACGCGGACCTAGAGTGAGCAGCAGCAAGATTTATTGCGAAGAGCAAAAGAACAAAGCTTCTACAGAGTAGAAGAGGACCCAAGCGGGTTGCCGCTGCTGGCTCTGGCAGCCTGCTTTTATTCCCTTATCTGGCCCCACCCACATCCTGCTGATTGGTCCATTTTACAGAGAGCTGATTGGTCTGTTTTGACAAGGTGCTGATTGGTGCGTTTACAATCCCTGAGCTAGACACAGAGTGCTGATTGGTGTATTTACAATCCTCTAGCTAGACATAAAAGTTCTCCAAGTCCCCACTAGATTAGTTAGACACAGAGTGCTGATTAGTGCATTTACAATCCTTTAGCTAGACATAAAAGTTCTCCGGCCGGGCGCGGTGGCTCACGCCTGTAATCCCAGCACTTTGGGAGGCCGAGGCGGGTGGATCATGAGGTCAGGAGATCGAGACCATCCTGGCTAACAAGGTGAAACCCCGTCTCTACTAAAAATACAAAAAATTAGCCGGGCGCGGTGGCGGGCGCCTGTAGTCCCAGCTACTCGGGAGGCTGAGGCAGGAGAATGGCGTGAACCCGGGAAGCGGAGCTTGCAGTGAGCCGAGATTGCGCCACTGCAGTCCGCAGTCCGGCCTGGGTGACAGAGTGAGACTCCGTCTCAAAAAAAAAAAAAAAAAAAAGTTCTCCAAGTCCCCACTAGATTAGCTAGACATAGAGCACTGATTGGTGCATTTACAAACCTTTAGCTAGACACAGAGTGCTGATTGGTGCATTTATAATCCTCTAGCTAGACATTAAAGTTCTCCAAGTCCTCACTAGATTAGCTAGACACAGAGCACTGATTGGTGCATTTAGAAACCTTTAGCTAGACACAGAGTGCTGATTGGTGCATTTATAATCCTCTAGCTAGACTTAAAAGTTCTCCAAGTCCATACTAGATTAGGTAGACACAGAGTACTGATTGGTGCGTTTACAAACCTTTAGCTAGACACAGAGTGCTGATTGGTGCATTTACAATCCTCTAGCTAGACATAAAAGTTCTCCAAGTCCCCACCAGATTAGCTAGATACAGAGTGCTGATTGGTGCATCCACAAACCCCAAGCTAGACACAGAGTGCTGATTGATGCATATACAATCCTCCAGCTAGACATAAAAGTTCTCCAAGACCCCACCCGACTCAGGAGTCCAGCTGGCTTCGCCTAGTGGATCCCGTTCTAGGGCCGCGGGCAGAGCTGCCCGCCAGTCCCGTGCTGCGCGCCCGCGATCCTCAGCCCTTGGGTGGTTGATGGGACTGGGCGCTGTGGAGCAGGGGGCAGCGCCCGCCGGGGAGGCTCAGGCCATGTGGGATCCTACCACAGGGGGGCTTGGGCATGGTGGGCTGCAGGTCCCGAGCCCTTCCCCATGGGGAGGTGGCTGGGGCCCAGCGAGAATTCAAGTGCGGCGCCGGCGGGCCAGCAGTGCTGGGGTAGCCTGGCGCACCCTCTGCAGCTGCTAGACCGGGTGCTAAGCCCCTCACTGCCTGGGGCCAGCTGCGCAAGTACGGGGCCTGCCGAGCCCACACCCACCCGGAGCTCGCACTGGCCCGCGAGCACCGCGTGCAGCCTGGGTTCCCGCCCGCACCTCTCCCTCCACACCTCCCCGCAAGCAGAGGGAGCCGGGTCCGGCCTCACCCAGCCCAGACAGGGGCTCCCACAGTGCAGCAGTGGGCTGAAGGGCTCCTCAAGTGTGGCCCGAGTGGATGCCGAGGTCCAAGAGGTGCTGAGAGTGAGCAAGGGCTGCTAGCACGTTGTCACCTCTCATTACTATTATAATTGTTTTGGGGCACCACAGATTGTGCCCTTATAAGATGATAAGCTTAATTGATAAATGTTGTATCTGTTCTGACTTCTCCACTGACTGGCTATTCCCACATCCCACTCCCTCTTCTCAGGCCTTCCTATTGTCCAAGACACAACAGTATTGAAATTAGTTTAAGTAACAACCCTATAATGGCCACTAAGTGTTCAAGTGAAAGGAAAAGTTGCACGTCTCCCACTTTAATCAAAAGCTAGAAATGATTAAGCTTAACAAGGAAGTTATGTTGAAACCTGAGACAGCCTGAAAGCTAGAATTTTGTGCCAGTTAGTCAAGTTGTAAATGCAAAGGAAAAGCTCTTGAATGAAATTAAAAGTGGTACTCCAGTGAACACATGATGATTAAAAGGGGGAAACAGCCTTATTGTTGATACAGAAACACTTTTAGTGGTTTGGATAGAAGATTAAAACAGCCAACACATTCCCTTAAACCAAAACCTAATCCAGAGCAAGGCCCTAACTCTCTTCAATTCCGTGAAGGCTAAGAGTGGTGGGAAAACTGCAGAAGAAATGTGTGAATCTAGCTGAGGTTGGTTTATGAGGTTTTAGGAAAAAAAAAAATCCATTTCCATAACCTTAAAGGACAAGGTAAAGTGACCAGTGCTGATGTAGAAGCTGCAGCAAATTATCCAGAAGATTATCTAAGATAATTGATGAAGGTGACTACATCCAAGAACAGATTTTCAATGTAGATGAAACAGCCTTCTCTTGGAAGCAGATGCAGTCTAGGAATTTCATAGCTAGAGAGGAGAAGCCAATGTCTGGCTTCAAAACTTCTAAAGATAGCCTGACTCTCTTTTTACAGGCTAAGCACCTGGTGACATTAAGTTGAAGCCATGCTCATTTACCATTCTAAAAATACTAGGGCCCTTAAGAATTTATCATGCTCATTAGCGTATAACCTACTATTGTTGCTGGTCCATTTATTAGCCCTCTCTTGTTTTATTGAGTTATTTTTTTTTACCCCCATTGCTATCCCTATTTAGCCTTTCAAGAGCAACCATTTTAAGAGGTTTAATATATAATCTTTTATTTGTATGTGTTTTCATCAAGCTATCATTATATAAAGGTATTGTGCTTTGGAACACATTCTGTCTTTTCCTTTTTCATTCAGTATTATGTTTTTTGCAGCATTATTACATTTCAGTGTGTGTAACTAGTCTGCCACTTCGAATGGCTGCATCTTACTCTCAATCCACTATTTACACCACAGCCGGAGTAATCTTTAAAAATGCAAATCTGATCATGTCATGCAGCTGTTTAATATCTGTTGGTGATTTTTCATTTGACTTAGGATGTATTCAAAACTTCTTACCATGTCTGTAAGGCCTTGCAGGATTTGGGCAGTGTCTGGTTAGTAAGTCTCATCCTTTGCCTTCTTCCGTTTGGTCTCTGCGTTTCAACCACACTGGCCTGAACTTCCTCAGATCTGTTACGCTTCCACGTTTGTTATTTACACCCAGCAATCTTTCTTCCTTCAAGTATCAGTCTAAATTTTGCTTCCTCGGATAAGTATTCCATGACTGGCCGATTGAATCAGAAGCTCAATGTTTAAAAATTCTTTAACATTATTTACTTTTGGTTACACTTTATATAATCTTTACTTATATTTGTTTATGTGTTTAATTCTTTAATATTTATCTTACCCACTACCATGTCAGTTCCACAAAGGCTGAGGCCGGGTTTATTTGTTCCTCAGTCATTCTTGTTTCTACCTATGGGAAGCCCTCAATAAAAAAGTGTTCAATGATTTACATGGGAGAAGTGACTTAACCAAGGTCATAAAACTAATTAAAGTCAAATCCAGACAAGAACTCAGCATCTTTCCTCTTCCTGTACTTGGCATTCTTTGAACCTATTGCCATTCTGTATTCTTATGTCCATTCCAGCTCTTTACACACAATAGGTGCTCAATAACTACTTCAGAAAAACATAAAATAAGCAAAGAATGGAATTGTGGATTATATAGCTTTATATTTATGTCAAAGAGCTACTGGCTATTATGTGAAATCTCCAAATCTTTAAATTCATTGGTAAAATAGTTGTCATTGATATTCTTGTTAAGTTTATAAGTAGACATTGCATTTTCTTTACGTTTTTTACCAGGTTGAAGACTGCTTCCTCTGATGTCATAAAGTCAGAGAGCCACATTGAGAAATGTCTGTTAAAATGCTTCTGTTAAAAATGTGTAGAAAGTGTGTGTCTGTTAAAATGTGTAGAAAATTCTGTTAAAATGTGTAGCAGGCTAAGTTTCAAACTGCAACTGAATAGAGAGAATCAATCTATGCATGTTCAGTTTGTGCTCATTTTAATAAGGAAAGAGACTGATGACCTCTCTACTTAAAAGAGGATGGATGGATGCACGTTTTTAAGAATATTTATTTTACCTCAGGAGAACTAAAATAATAACCTATCCTTCCTTCCAACTTGGTCTCTGCCTGAGCAGGTTTTATCAATGGACCTGTCACAATACTGAAATTGGGAGCTCTTGCTATGTTGTTTTGTAAATCCAATTATCTTCAATCCTTGCCATTTCAGCAAAGAAACAAACAAAAAAAGCTTTTAAAGAAGGTATCAAATAGCATTTTTAAATTTATTTTTCAGTGGTATCAGGGAAATTGCCATGTCTTCACCAAGTGATATAAATCTATATTACTCATTGAATCCATGCCTTGAAAACTAGAAATGATTTTTTTTTCTGTTATACTAAAAAAGTTAAATAACTTGGAAAGTAGTACTATTTTGACTATTGGCAGTACTGGTAGGTAAGTAAATAAAAAAAATATAGCCCCATTTCAGTGTGACTGAAGGTGGCAGATCAATGAGACCTTTATCCCATTAGCCTGCCCTAGTATCTGATATTCCTCAAGCTGAGACTTAATTCTTTTGGTTTCAGGTACTGTATTTGTAAGATTCTCTCATTCACAAAATTCTATCAAATTTTCAGGGTTTACCCATTTATTAGTTATTTTAACTTCACATCATAACTCTGACATCACATAGAAGTTATTAATACCCAATGATAGAAAAGAAAACTGAATCTCAACACAATTACATAATTTGTTCAAGAAATCACAGCAACAAATTGGGCCTTCTGACTTGAGTCTAGAGCCTTTCACCAACATCAAGTAGTACTAATGATATTTTACTGTAAGTATTTTAACTGGGGCTATTATGAGTTCATTTCCCTTATCTCATCTCTTCTTCCTTCCATACAATTTTTTTTCAGACAACTTCTCGTTTATGTTGTTTTGTAAGCATCCCTCCCACCAGGTTCTGGCTTTGTTTTGTATGATTTATTTCTATTGGCTCCATCATGACCTCTCAGGGCACTTGGAAGATCCTGTTGTAAAGCTCTGAAGCTCTTGACAGTCTATCTGTTGGGATTCGAAAAAATAAAGAAGTCAACATTAGGTAAGATAAGAATAAAATTCCCCTCAAAAAAAAAAAAAAAGAATAAAATTAAAGAAGAAAAAAGAGTATGGTGGGCCTTTGCCTCTGACCTCTGGGTAGTTTCAAAGATGAGTTCAGGGATAGAGTTGCAGCTGCAGATATGAACCAGGTCTTCAGAGAGGTGACAGAAAGAACTAAAGGGAGAGAGAGAAATGTAAATTTGCATTAATTGAAATTTTTTTAGTTACAGTGGCAATACCGTAATACAGTAGTCTAAGCTAAAACAGGAAATTCACTGGATCATATCACAAGATGGAAAACCAGAGTGGGTTAGGGTAAATGGAAACTGGCTTAGGGACAGCTGTGGCCAGGGACTTAAATGGCAGGATGGTATCCACTTCTCATTTTTACTCTTATCTGTAGAGTATCTTACTCTACTCTTTTTTCTAATATTGCACAAGAGGAATGTAGAAGAGAGATTTTTTTAAACAGACCTCAGTTTTGGACTCAAGTTTCTTAACTGTATGAACAGAGATGAAAGGAATACTCTTTTCCCAACTAGAGTTTGAAACTTTTAGGAGAGGACTCTGATAGATCCATGTTGGGTCATACACCAACTCCTTGGACCCATCAACATGAAAAGGTATGATGAGTTTTGTGTTAGACCAATTTGTAGCCAGGGAGGTAGGGCTGATTTCCACAGGAAAGAGGGCTGGTACATTTATTGCCTTTTGGACCAAGTATAGACTACAGAAAACTAAGTATGCTATGCCAAGGGCTTGAAATTTATCCTACATGCATGGTTTATTTATTGGAACATTTAAAGTGGGAACATAATCAGCTTTACCTTTTAAAAATACAATTCTGGCAGCAATGTAAAGGATGAAATCGAGATTTTTAAAGACAAGAGATAGGTATCTTAGGATACTATTCCGCAAGTGTAGATTAGATGTAATGATGGCCAGGTGGGGTGGCTCATGCCTGTAATTCCAGCACTTTCAGCACTTTGAGAGGCTGAGGTGGGTGGATGGCTTGAGCCCAGGACTTTGAGGCTAGCCTGGGCAATGTGGTGAAACCTTGTCTCTTCAAAAAATACAACAATTAGCCCAACATGGTGGCATGCACCTGTGGTCCCAGCTACTCGGGAGGCTGAGGTGAGAGGATCACTTGAGCCCAGGAGGTCAAGGCTGCAATGAGCCGTGATCATGCCACTGCACTCCAGCCTGAGTGACAGAGTGAGAGTCTGTCTCAAAAAAAAAAAAAAAAAACTGCAATGGTGATGATAAGAAAGCCTTTAGCAGTGTTTGTACAGAGGAGTGGTTTGAAGATAGAATCTACAAGATGTCAGGGCTTGAAAATGAAGAGTAGGAGGATAAGAGAAAGAAACAACTCTCATATTTCTAACTTGTGTGATCGCATGGATGACAGCATAGTTCACAATGCATGGAAAACATGAGGAAAAGCGGATTTGGCAACAAGTTTTTTAAAAAATAAAATCTTCCCAATTTTAACCTCTGGATGACTGGGTAGGATTATAAGCTTTCCTGTGCCCAGAGAAAGAATGTATTAGTCATATTTTCCTTTGTCTTCAGAGTAATTGAGATCATTCAGCAGATAAAGTGTGGTCAAAGAGTAACTGCAGACCTTTCAAAAGTGTCTGTGACTAGAGTATCAATAAGGATAGTGCTTTGATGGACAGACAGCCTCTTTCTCTCCAGTCATTGAATCTCAAATCTGTATCCTCCATGATTCCTTTGTCATAGAGATGCTAGTTCTTCAAATAATACATGCATTTTTCTTTGCCCATATGTGTGTATATGCATAGGTGTGCGTGCCTGCTAAATAACTGCACATGACTTTTAAAATCTTCTGCAAATGTTGAAGCAAAGAGTAGCAAGGGTGGACATGGGAAATGTGTCTATAAGGACCTCAATGAAGAGCTTAGAAATTGCCCATGATCAGACATCTGAGATTCTGAAATGGTCTCAGACCTGATTTATATATTTCTAGTGGATATATTTACTCATGATGTTCTCCTGCTCATGCTGTCACAGAATCTGTAATAATCACTTAGGTTTACCAGCAGTATAATGAGATCATCTTGACTTTGTTAAATATTTCTCATTTTTAACTGGATCTCATTATCTTAAGCTAATACAATACATTTGTTTTTTTCCCCTCAGTATTTATACCCATAAATAATATGAAGAATGTTAGCACAAACTTTCTTAGCAACAGTTTTCATAAGCTACCCAGTATGATCTTGTAAGGCTCTGACATTAAGCAGTCTCAGTTATTTTTACCTGGAGGATTTGTGTTTCTGAGTATCTCTCTTCCAGACCAGGGATTGGCAAACTATGGCCTATAGGCTATTTGGTTTTTTTTCTTTTTAATGTTTCATTGGAATACAACCATGCTCATTTTTTGTGTATTATTTATGGCTGTTTTAATGCTATTAATGGCAGAATTGAACAGTTTTTACAGAAACCAATTAGCCTGAAAAGCCTAAAATATTTACTAGCTCATCCTTTGTAGAAAAGATTTGCTGAACTCTGTTGTAAACTACAATTTGATAATAGGAGATCCTGATGATAACTAACATTCTCATTACATGAATATAAGATTGAAATGATGAAATACTCTCTCTTTTTAAAAATTTCGCTCCTTTGGATATATACCCAGAAGTGGAATTGCTGGATCATATGACAATTCTCTTTAGTATGTCAAAGAGATATCTGCATTTTTATGTTCTTTGAAGCACTAATCCCAATGACCAATATATGAAATCTACCCTAGTGTCCATCAATGGATGAATAGGTAAATAAATTATAGTCTATACACAATAGTATTAGAGATATACTATTCAGCCTGAAAAAAAGAAGAAAATTCTGTTCTTTTTGATAACATGGTGGACCATGCTAAGTGAAATAAGCCAAACACTCATATGTGGAATCTAAAACAATGGAATTCATGGAAGCAGAAAGTAGAATGGTGGTTACCAGAGGCTGGGGATGGGGGAAACGGGAAGATGTTGGTCAAAGGGTACAAAGTTTCTCTTAGATCTACTGAGCAATGAGTTAACTATAGTTAATAATAATGTGTATTTCAAAATTGCTAAGTATTGAAAATATTTTCCACCTTCCGTCAGCTTCTTTTCTTCATGCAATTCAAACTTTTCCATGATGTATACAACTTTCATTGAATTTGCTGCATCGTCTTCACAGACAGTGATATAAGTTGACTAACACCACCAGTATACATGTGTTTTAGAGGTGTTTATGATTTCTTTGGAAAAATTGAAAAATAAATAGGTCAGATTATGTTTCATCACTGTCCTGCTATTTTTCTCTACAATGGAAAATTATTTTGCCTTCATATCATTTTTGAGAAGAGCTAAAAATCCAAACATTTATGTTCAAGGGGCAACTCCTTTTTGCTATTCTCTGTGCTTTCTAATCTCAACTTATTTCTAGGGTAACAGAGATGTCACAATTATATCACCCTAACAAGCCAAATCTTTATCATATCGCTGTGTCTGGCTGCATGAGTCATAAGGTCATGACTCTGGACTGAAAGCACATTTAGTAATACAATATAAAATTTCTCATTCAGTACTTACCTTTACATAATCGTGGTTCTTGTTTAGGCAAAATGGGCTCTCTTTATAAGAGAAAAAAATAAAAGTTAAAATACAAATGCAAAGATTAAAAAAAAATCCTTTGCTAAAACAGAGGAGAGAGAAACTAGTAGTCAGAATCTGAAAACATGGGGAAGAAGTTTCACATAGAGTTCTGGGTTCAGTTTGAATCCCAGCTCTATGACTTACCAGCTATGTGACCTATCTAAGATCCATTCTTTACCCGTAATGTGGGGATAATAATAGACCCTATTTAATCTAGTTTTAGAGTAGATTATAAGAGTAATTGTACATGAGTCACTTAGCATAGAGCCTGACATTTAACAAGGGTTCGATAAATGTTAGCCCTAATAATAGTAATAATAATACCTCCTTGTAAGAGTTCCTCATCTACTCTCAGGAAATAAATTATGTGCCAGGAGACACTGGAGCAACATCTGTATAGACACATTTATCTAGTTGGGGGGCCGCATATTTAATGGTCTGTCAGAATGGATGGCTACACAAAAGGTTGACACACTGAGACCTGCCTAAACAGGAAGTGTGGGACAAACCTGACAGGCCTAGGGAAGACAGTCTCAGAAGTGATTAGCTCCACACTGTTTTTAATTACATGCACTCTCTTTAGTTAGAAAGATGATGTTATTAAGTAAGTAGAATTATTGTACTTAGAAAAAATTTCAAAAATGGCCACTGATTTATTTTAAAATAGGTGGATTACTGATAGTTTTATGAACATAAATTTAAAATATTTATTATATTTTATTGGAGATATTAATTTTAATAATAAATACATAAAGAAAAATCTTTTATATTTGAGTATTGCCATTGAATTGATATTTCTCAATTCTCAACAATGACTAAATAATGTAAATGTGTACATCTTCTCAAATAATTAAACAGTCACAGAAAAAAATAGTTTAAAAACCTCATCATCCCTGACTCCATAGAGCTTAGTCTATTGATGGGGAAATACTTCAGTTGGATAATCATAAAAACAAATAAAATATTTAAGTGTTTAGGAGTCATGTTACATGCTGCTGTCATCATGTGTAATAGTGGGATTTGGCCTTGTCATTCATTCAATAACTATTTTAGAGCTTTTGTTCCTTGCCAGACATTGTTCTAGCTGCTTGAAATACCATAGTGAATAAGGCAGACACAGTTTTACTCTTATGGAAATTTTAACTAGCAGATGCTCAGAAAGGATAGGAAATATGTTGGAGGTTATATATTTAGAAAGTAGGAGATCCAAAATTCACACTTAGATCAATCCAGTGCCAAAACCTATGTCATTAACCACTGTCATCTATTCTGTCTTCCCAATTTTATCTAAATGCAGTTTAGTGAGTATTTGTCTTTTGTCTGTTTATCTGACCAACAAATGAATATCCTTCTCATATTGGAACATTCCCCACATTTTATGTGAGTCTTAATGCTAGGCAGGGGCTGCCTCTCACCGTGGACACTGAAAAGCTAGATACTCCTTTTCTGAATCAACCATGAAGAAATGGGTTGGGCACAGTTAATAATTAATAAGCAAAATAAATAAATAAAAAACAAAGCTGGAGGCATCACGTTACCCAAATTGAAACTATACTACACAGCTACAGTAACCCAAACAGCATGACACTGGTACAAAAACAGACATATAAACCAATGGAACATAATAGAGAGCCCAGAAATAAGGCCACACACCTATGACCATCTGATCTTCAACTAAGCTGACAAAAACAAGCAGTGGGAAAAAGACTACCTATTCAAAAAATGGTGAGGGGATAACTGCCTGGCCATATGCAGAGGATTGAAGTTGGACTACTTCCTTATACCATATACAAAAATCAACTCAAGATGGATTAAAGACTTGAATGTAAAACCCCTAAGTGTAAAAACCCTGGAAGACAACCTAGGCACTACCATCCTGGACATAGAAACGAGCAGAGATTTCATGACATAGATAACAAAGGCAATTGCAACAAAGCAAAAATTGACAAATGGGATCTAATTAAACTAAAGAGCTTCTGCACAACAAAAGAAACTCTCAACAGAGTAAACAGACAAACTAAAACCTGAGAGAACATATTTGCAAACTATGCATCTGACAAAGTTCTAAAATTCAGCATCTATATGGAACTTAAACAAATTTACAAGGGAAAAAACAAACAACCTCATTAAAAAGTGTGCAAAGGCCATGAAAAGACACTTTTCAAAAGAAGACATACATGGAGCCAACAAGCATATGAAAGAAAGCTCAATATCACTGATCATTAGGGAAACGCAAATCAAACTACAAAGAGATACCATCTCACACGGGTCAGAATGGCTATAGAAAGTCAAGAAATAACTGATGCCAAGAAAAAGGAATGCTTATATACTGTTGGTGGGAGTGTAAATTAGTTCAACCATTGTGGAGAGCATTATGGTGATTCCTCAAAAAGCTAAAAGCAGAGCTACCATTCAATCAAGCAATCCCATTAGTCAGTATATATCCAGAGGAATATAAATCATTCTACCATAAAGACAAATACACAGAAATGTTCATTGCAGAACTATCCACAACATAAAAGACATTAAATCCACCTAAATACTCACCAGTGACAGATTCCATAAAGAAAATGTGGTAAATATACACTATGGAACACTATGCAGCCATAAAAAAGAATGAGATCATGTCTTCCATCCAGGAACATGGATGGAGCTGGAGGCCATTATCCTTGATGAACTAACACAGGAAGAGAAAACCAAATACTGCATATTCACAGTTATAGGTGGAAGATAAATGATAAGAACTCCTGAACACAAAGAAGGGAACAACACACACTGGGGTCTACTTGAGGGTAGAGGGTGGGAGGAGGGAGAGGAGTATAAAAAATAACCATTGGATATGAGGCTTAATACTTGGTTGATGAAATAATCTATACAACAAACCCCTCTGACACAAGTTTACTTATGTAACAAACCTGCACATGTACTCCCAAACCTAAAATAAAAGTTAACAAAAGAAGAAAATAAAATATTAGAGTCCACTGAAAAATAAGAACACATTAGGTTCCAGAATGTATTATTTTGATTCTATTATTATTATTAAATCCTTCACTTTTCTCACTGGATATGTTCAGTAAAGCAATACAATTTCGAAATATCAGAAAAATGGACTTCACTCACTGCTATGGACTGAATATTTGTGTCCCCCAAAATTCATGGGTTGAAACCTATTCCCCAAGGTGATGGTATTTGAAGGTGGGGCCTTTAGGAAGTGATCAATCGTGAGAGTGAAGTGCTTCTGAATGGGATCAGTGTCTTTATGAAAGAGACCCCAGGGAGCTCCCTCACCCCTTCTCCCCTCTGAGAACACAGAGAGAAGACAGCTATCTATGAACCAGGAAGCAGGTTCTCACCACATATCCAATCTGTTATTGCCTTGATCTTGGACTTCCCAGCCTCCAGAGCTGTGGGAAATAAATCTGCGTTGTTCATAACCCCCTCCTCTTCCACCCAAAAAAGAAAGAAATAAATGGATTGGGCAAATGGCTTCACCAATCCAGTAGGCTTACCCTGCATTCTAACTAGGTTTATATGTCTCAAAGGAAGGAATGTCTTTTCAAAGGAGTGGCAGAGAACACACCTGGGATTCAGAGCTTGCGGCCATGGCACTGCATCTCTGGCTTGTAAAATTCAACCATGGCAGCAGTGATGGTCTCAGTGGGCTGAATGTGTGCTGTGACTTTAACTCCCATTTTCATACTATTTTCTGAGTATAATTCTCTTACCTTCCTGTTGACTGCTTAAATCATCGAGATTTATTTTCTATTGCTTGCAACCAAAAGCCCCAGTTGGTTGTTTAGATTATTTCACCCCACACATTGACCTTTATTAATCAATAGCTTGATTGGATGATAATGGAATGAAGTTGCCATGTGATTTTGCGTAGTTCTGCAGAACTTCCTTCTTCATCTCCTTCGTTGTAGAGAAAGGTAAACTAGCAATAATTAGAATACTGACAATGCCTTGGGGCCCATTATTGGTGATATGGCAAAGATAATTCACATAGAATTTTTTTAGTCAAATTTAGCTTATTGAGAGATATGAATTGATTCAGCCAAAATGAATATCTACAAATATCTAGACTCTAATTGGTAGCATCTTAAAAAAAATGAAAAAACTGAATTCAGCAACACAACTGAGATATTATACTTTCTTTTTATTCTACTCCTGTTATTAGCCTTTATTTTCAATTTTTAATCTATATGATTTTAGATTTCTGAGTGAATGTATCAGTCAAAATATTAAGTGAGTAGAAGTATGTCAAAATCTTTAACTTTATGATCACCACGTAAGCAAATGTTTGCAATGTGTTCATTTTTCAAAAAATTACTCTGGTATTGTATACATACCAATCCAAAGAAACTGTCAGTCAAGAAATGTGTTGATCCCCAAATCAGTAATTTTAACCAGGGAAGTTTTCTGTAATTTTAACCAGGGAAGTTTTCTGTAATTTTAACTAGGGAAGTTGTCTTACCACCACTGCAGTTGTTTTTGATGACCAGTTAGTAAACTAATGTATGTCTTCCATGTAATTCATAAATAATTTCTGATTTTCTGAGCTTTCACTAATACAAATTTACTCAAATCTTTGTTGTTGTTGAAGTTTCTAAGAGTTTTATGTTTTCTCCAACAGAAGTTATGTTAAATGGATGTATATTTGGCTAAATATATATTTTCTGTGATATTTATCCATGATAGATATTATTTAAGGGTGTGTTAATTGGTATATTTAATCACAGGAATACATTAACCATTCAGAAAAGGAAAATGATTCAGCTGTCTACATTTTTTATTCTGTCCCCCTTGCAATTATTTCAAGGTTACTAAAGAGCTTGGCTTCAGGACATTTAGGCATATGAATTAATGTTAATCAGTGGTAACCTATTAATCACCCAGAGATTTATCATCTAGTATATCTGGACATTTAAAAATATCTGGATCTTTGCTCTTTGGTAAATGTATATCGAGCAATTTAAAAAAATTCCAAACAGATGTTTGTCTTTGAAGCCTATATTACTATAAATGGATGTCTTTAATGCTCATCAAGTTTTATTGAGAAGCAAAATAATTTTCATATCAATATCAAATACAAATACAGCATAAAGAAATAAAGATGTACATCAAAGTGCTAAATATAGAATATAATTAAATACCTATGTAAAACCATATGCCAATTTTCTACAAGTTGAATTACCAATAGATGTTTTATGTCAATTCATTTTTGCCTAATTTATTTAGATACTCTAATTACTTATTACAAAGCAGCTCAATTTCAGTTTCTGTATTTATTTCTTTTGATGTAGTTACATTTTTAACCTAGACTAGTATATCAAAATATGTTACATTATATTGAACCTTAATTCTGGGTAACTTTCTGTGTCTCAGTTAAATTTTTTTATAAGATAAAAGCTATTTGTACTAAATTTGTTTTAATGTTATACAAAAGAATTGGTGAAATCTTTTCAATCCAGGATTAGGGAGTGAGAACAAAAGAGTTCCAGGTAACTTCAACCTCTGGCCAATACGGATAGTGTTCTCACTTTGACCTTTGCTAGTGCCTGAATGCTTGTGTCCACCCAAATTTGTATATTAAAACCTAATCCCAAATGTGAGGGTCTTTAGAGGTGTAGCCTTTGGGAGGTGATTAGGTCACGAGGATGGAGCCCTCATGCATGGGATTAGTGCCCTTATAAAAGAGGTGTCAGAGTATCCCTGGCTTCCTCTGCTATGTGAGGTTACAGAGAGAAGATGGCCCTCTATGAACCAGGAAATGGGCACTTACCAGACACTGAATCTCCCAGTGCTTTGATCTTAGACTTCCCAGACTCCAGAAAAGTGAGAAATAAATTTCTGTTGTTTACAAGCTACCCTTGTAGTAGTTTGTTAAAGCAGTGCAAACAGACTAAGACAGCTTTCCTTTGATTAGGTTTTTCATTCTTTCTTATAAGATCTATAAATGAATGAAAGGCTCTTGTTTTCAGGTGCCATTGGAAGAGGTTTAGTTACATTCCCTTCCACAATAGGTGGAGCTAGTGACACCCTGAAGTCTTAATAATTATTACCTTTCCTTCCTTTTCTATTATAGACACTACCACTGCTATAATTTGATATTTGCATGCATTATTACGAATTGAAAATACCTACACATAGTTTATCACTTTGTATATTTAATAGTCTTACTATGTATTAGTTTTTATCTTCATTTTGTTTTATATATAAATAATATATAATATATTATATATAAATTATATATAATATATTTATATATAAAACATATATATATAAAACATATATGTATGTGTGTGTGTGTGTATATACATATATATACATATATTCCTGGGTTCAAGCAATTGTCATGCCTCAGCCTCCCTTGTAGCTGGGATTACAGGCATGTACCACCATGCCTGGCTAATTTTTTGGATTTTTTTAGTAGAGATGGAGTTTTACCATTTACCATGTTGGCCAATCTGGTCTCAAACTCTTGGCCTCATGTGATTCATTCACCTCGGCCTCCCAAAGTGTTGGGATTACAGGCATGATCCACCACACCTGGCCTATCTTCATTTTATGGATAAGAACAAGAAGAACCAAAGAATTTTAAGTAACACATAATGGCTCATTACATTACTCTGCAATGAAAAAGCTAGCTCCATAACCTCTGACCCCAAGATGAGTGATCTTTCTAGTACATGCTATCATCTCACTATTAGTTATGATGCTTATAAAAATCATTTATTGAGCCAAATCCCTTTATTTTATACCTATGATAAAACTCACATAAAATCCATGGTCATTTTCATTACACTAGGCCACCAGGTAATATGGATTTAAGTTTGATTGTGAAATATAAAAAAAGTTGCTTTCTAGATATTTGAAGAATGATAAGGGCAAGATGGAAGCATGTTTGTTGTATTATAAGTCAAGAATCCAATTTAATTGAAGTCTCTGAGATGAAAATAGACCCCTTACTACTATTTACTTGCAGCCTTTTCTTAAATTGCCTTCTTATGTGTGGAAGCCAATTTCAGCCTCTTTCTCAGTCATTTTAAGAGTACATACAGGAATATGGAATAACAATGCTATGCAGTTGAATTGCATTTTACAAGTTTTAAGTAGTTTGATCTGATAGAAGTCTGTCAAGTTGGGGGACCAGATTTTATAAATCTAATTTTAGAGATTAAAAACTGGAATTAAGGAAGGAAATAGCCCAAGTACACAAACATCCTGAGCAAACAGATTTGAGGTTAGGACTGTTTTCATGACAGTCTGGTCTGCATTTCTTCTATTCTACTGTCTCACTCTGCCCCAATGCTGCCAGTAAAGACCATCATAATGCTCCTGACAGGTGGCATATTGTGATAGCAGCATGGCAACAACAGCATTTTCTTCAGTTCTGTTTCAGAAAGCACATACTGTCTGCATACTTTTAGAAGGCTTTCCTCCATTCTTCATTGGACATTGCACCATCAAGCAATGAAAATTTCTTACGATAAAAACCCAAATTCTAATTCTAAGGTAATAAACAAAATAAATGCTTTCCAGGAGATAAATGTTCAGAAAAGAGAAACTGGTACTTTAAGGGACTGAGTGCTGTTTTGTGCCACTACTAAGATTTAACTCTTACCCTGTATCACCATTGGAATGTTCTAATTAGTATCGTGGAAAATGCCGTCATAACAGTTATCCCAATTTAGGACCAGGAGACAGAACACGTACCTTGAAGCAAAAATATGCAAGTTGGGAAAAATGCTGACACTGGCTATGTCTGCGCTCAAGAATAGTTTAACTGTTACTGAGTAAATTGCATGTATGAGTTGACAAGAAGTGATTTCAGTCACTTTTCTATGAGACAGATAATATGGGAAACAAAACAATTTTGTATCCTTAAAGGAAGAGATTTCATAAGAAAAGAAGGAAATTATAAGCTGTAAAGGAGAGCTCAAATTATATGTAACAACATGCTAATGAAAATGAATAGACATTGTGTTTCCAAAGAATGTTCAGAGACAAATGACATCTTCAAATTAAATTTGGATACTAAAAAGGGATGCTTGTTGAATTGCATGTTATATAAGTGTCAATTGTGTGTTAGATCATAAGCAAAATATTACTTAAAACAAGACAATTGGCTTGGATGTGTGATCATCTCTAAAACTCTGAAAGCTCAATGAATGTGACACATTGTATAACTAGGCAAGTGTTTCCTAATAATAATCATAGGCAGGTATCTGACTTTATACCCTTTTTTATCTGAAATATTTTACATATGCATGAACATTTATCCACATATTTAAAATTAAAGAGATAAAATGCTGTTAATAGTCATACTGGTTATCTGAATTTTTAAAAACAATACTAATTTTAAAAAAGAAACATCTGGCTTAGAAAATGACTATATTCAGCACTAGAAAAATTCTTGTAATCACGTTGTAGAAATTTTAAATTCTACTTCGGACATTTTAAATGTTGTACTTCAACGACATTTCACTGCCCAAGTAACTGTGTGTTCATGTTTCTTGGCTGGATATTCATGGTCTTCCATAACTTTACCCCAACCTATCTTCTTATCTAATTTCCCCTAAGTTTCCATCTCATATTCCCTGTTTTCTATTCATAATGAATTTTTCTTTTCCAAGTTTTTATTCATGCTTTCCCCACTGCCTAAATGCCTTGTCCCTATTCTGGGTGCCTACACTTGATCCTTCCTTTAATTCTCAATTCAAATGCTACCTCCTTCTTAAATTATTTTCTACTTCCAAGTAAGCATGGGTCACCCATTTAACCCTAATTACAGACATCTGCAGGAGGCTGCAGTAACAATAGCCTTCTGTGAACATATTTCCGTGTCTTACTGTGAAACAGAATAGGCAATGACTCTAGGAATTGGTGACTTACAAAGGAAGACATTTTGTTGTTGAATGAACATATTTTATCAGGCTGAAAACAACTATTCTGAAAGTGATTCTGTTTACTGGTAATTTTTTACATCTCAAGTAGCTCCGAGGTAAAAGTTTAAAGAGACAGTTTCTACATTTATATGTACAGCAGTTCATTTTAGAGAGATGCAGGTTGACATTACATTTGTATTAGATATATTTGTTTTGTTAATGATGACTAAATCCTTAGTTTTTTTTTTTCTGTAAAATATTTAAGTGTCTTGTGGTTGCCATGTCAAAGACCTGTATCAGATTTCAACATCTCAAAAATCTGATGATCCACAGAACATATTGTTCAGCTATATGAGACATCCATTCTAATTGTTTTTTTTTTGAAATCCATAGACTAACAATAAACTTTAAAACATAACTTCATTAAAATTAAAGGAAATATTTGATGTTTTCTTGGTTTGAGGATCCTAGGCATATATTCATTTATTCAACAAATACTGGTTGAACATTTTCTCTTTTCCTTAATATTGTGGAAACTCAGGGAGAATCTACTTTACTTGAAGAAATATCCATTTAAGATGATATATTTTTAAATAGGTATCTGACATTACCTCATGTAAGGTGATTTATAATCTTGTTAACACAAATAAAATTCTCCAAGCCTTGTGCTAATACTTGACCCAAAATAGTTTATTTTATCTCCTACTGAAACTTGCTTACCCACAAAATAAGGAGTGAAAGAAAATATTGCAGTTATCATTTTTTTCAATGAGCTTTTAGTGAGTACTTGCTAAATACTTATAATTACTTATAATAAATATTTTAATAATAATTACTTCTATGTTTTAGGACTGTTGTCCTCTGAGATACAAAGAAAAGTTATATAAAGGTCTATCCTCAAAAGCTTACAGTCTAGTGGAGAAAAATATTATCTAAAGTCAATATAATCCTTTACTGATTTTATATATATATATATTCTACATATATTACTTATTTGTTAGTAGTACTATTTTTTAGATAAGAAAATTGAGTTTTAAGAGTCAAGTTACTAGTCCAAAGTTATAGATTAATGCAATGGCAAAACCTATCTTTATACTGAAGTCTTATGACTATGAGTCAGAGGGACTACCTATTACAGATTTGACCTTCCATTAACGGGTAGTGAAAGCCCTAAGGAAATTAAAGTCTATCCTCTCTGATTCTTGAGTTTGGAAACTATTACAGCAACAATGACATCTTTATATTTGATAAGCAATTACTGTTTTCAAGGGTTCTCTTTATCTTTTCAATTTGATCGATTGCATGTTTCTTAGCTTTTCAGGTTGGAAAAAAGAATCAATGTGGTGCTCCTCTAAAAACTCTGTAAAACTGCAAGGCACTAGGTGCAAGCCCAGAATCAATTACAAAAGGGAGCCCAAAATCAGACAGGTACCTGGGAGATATTACTAATGAATGTATATTATCTTTTGTTATCTGAAATGGCTATGCCTAAGTGTTAACCAAACTTTCTGGTAGGTACAGATTTCAGTTTATTTTAATAGGTCTAAGTCCACTCAATCTTCCAGCACCAAAATTCCCATTGATTTTTCAAGGGCAATAACTAATGGTTCCAGTAAGAATGTTAAAGAAAATGCTTGTTTTGGAAACTTATGACTGATAGACAAGTAAAACTAATTCGAAGAAGACAAACTTTCCATACTATACCACAAAATATATATTAGAAATAAACTTGAGTCAATAGGGCTAACTAGCCTAAATTTAGAGAGTGACAGATTTCAGCTCACAAGAAGAAATTTTTCTACCAACTGTAACCCACCATGAATAGAACAAGCTGACTCTGAAGTAGTGAGGTTCTCATGTCTAGATGTTCCAATAAAAGCTATGTGAAAATGTTTTAGTTTCAGAGAGGGTCCATATGTATGGTAGGATATTGAAATAGATGATCTTGAATTTTCCTTCCATCCCACTTTTCTAACACGATTCCTAGTTTGACTCTTGGCTCTTTCCCCTTCCTTAAATAAACTGGTGATTTTGAGAAGTGGGCATATGGAGCACGCAAAAGAAAGATAAAAAGAAAGAAAAAGATAGAGGGAGAAGGAAGAAGGAAAGAGAGCAGTTGAGGAAGAAAGTAGGAAGGTTGTATGAGGAGAGACAGAAAATTAGGAAAGGGGATACATAGTAGGTAGTCTAGGAAGTCTAGCTTTTCTATAGGAGAAATGTGCCAGTACACAAGACTAACATCCGCTAAATGGGTCATAGATGTGTGTAAACAGCATACAAACATCCAGGCCAGACAGATTTCCATGAAGTTAGGGTATAAGATAGGTCTTCCATGATGCTGTTACAGGTAGTTAGGCATGAGCAGGGCAGGAGAGGGCTGTCCCCCACCCACTAGAAATGTCTGGCAATGATTCGGCAATTACTGCATTGCCCCTCTAAAAGTGATAAATTGGCAGCCGGCTCCAGGCAGAGGCGATTTCCTGATGTTCCACATCTGTTTAACATTAAAGTGTTAACTAAATGCAGATCCCAGGGAGAAAGCAACTCCCTGGGTATGCACATTAAGAAACAAAAATGGCGAAGTACAATCTTACGGGTACACTCCAACAGAAAAAGGAAAAAAGCCTCAGATGGGCATGTGTACAACTTCCTAAACACACTGAGCGTGCTCACTTCCCAAGGGTAAGGAGGGGTCTGCGCATGCGGCGGCACACCCTACGGGAAGAATCATAGGAAAGAGGGGAGCTCATAAAGTCATAGGATCAAGCCCTTTCTTGTTGCTGTCTTTTCTCCCTTGGAACTTCAGGTTCCTGCTTGGTCTCTTCCAAGCAAATTTTCCTTTCTTTCCTTTTCTAAAGCCTTTTTAAATAAACTTCCACTCTTGCTCTGAAACTTGCCTTGGTCTCTTATTCTGCTTTATGCCCTCCAGTCGAATTATTTCTTCTGGGGAGGCAAGGACTGAATTTGCTATAGATACACCACAGGTAACTCAGGGTAACTCGGATCTCTTCCTCTGGTAACAATGCCAGGGTGAGCACTGACATTCAGCCTGGCCCCTTACACATTTATTCCTGCCTCCATGGCCCTCAACAGAGCACTGTGGAGCAGCCATGCCCCCATAAATATGGATTGTTTATGAATGCAGCTGAAGGCTTTTGTACAGAGTCTGTGGCTTCTTCCTCACCTACCCTGCTTAACTCTCCAAGCTTTTAACATTGTCTCTCATCCTCCTGTTTTCTTTTGTCTTTTACTTTTTTTAATGCAGTCATGATTTCCTCCTGATTCTGACTTTCTTTTCAGGGCAATTCTATTTCTCTATTTTGGCATTATCTGGAGAGTGTTCTCTAACTTGCACCCCCTCCTTATTTGATTTGTCCCTTTCAACCCTATTCGTGAGCAATACATGGTCTACTGATCCATCCTTATTACTCTCCAAAATATAAACCATTTCTGTTTTTCACAGGCTTAGATAAATTTGCTGATCTCTGCCTAGGGTCATTCAATTCTGATGGAGATATATACCAGATGCCCCCAAAACTTTCATGGGGCAACGAAGATGAAGAAAATCCATCATTAAGCAATTAAACATTGAAAAAAAACCACTTCTGTTCCTCTTGCAGTAAAGAATAGTATATTAATTTATAAGGCAGTGGGTCTGTGGGAACTATGAAAAAAATAAAATAACATATCTAATTGCTAAACTTTCTGGTACAATAATTGTATTCATCTTTTATTTCAAGTCATTAAAAATAGTTTATGCTAAATGTCATGCTGTGAGAATGGGCTCTAGAATGAATCTTATGCCTGCACAGGTGGATATAAAGGCTCCCCTTTTCATATCACAGTCAAACTAGGAATTACACTAGCAATTTTCCTCCAGTTACTACAGTTTTGCTTGTGGCTTTTCCTTCTAACCTTTCTTCATTGGGCAATAATAGCTCAGCCACTCTCTTCAGAGGTCATCCAATAAGAAAAAATTGCTCTAGTATGTCATTAGAACAAGAGGACAAAATGTGAGCATTTTAATATTTCTCACAATATCTCTGCATTTTGGCATTTTGATAACAAGACACACAATGAGCAAATAGATCAAGAGTAGTAAGATATTAAATTGGAAGCAAATGCTATTACAGTTTATGTCTTTAAAATCTGAGTTGGAAGTTTTGTTTCCATCTATGAGGGAGTAGATGTATCAAAGAAATCCTTGGAGAAAGTAAGTGTAAAACCTGGATAGAAAACAGAAACAAAGCAAAGCAGCTATTTGGATCCCACAGAAAACAATCACGACAGCCAAGAATTGTGGGGACTAGACCTATAGAAGAGGAAATTGCATTGAGCTCAACCCCAAATTTGCCTCTATAATTTCTCCCTATTTATTTACAGTTTCTCAGTGATAATGATGGAGCCTGAAGAGAAAGTAATAGCCTTGAGTTGTGACCAATATCATTAGATAGAGAGAACAAAATCAGACTTCAGGAACTGGGGCAACCACGATTTAAGGGAAAAAGGTACGGGGGAGAGGACATTCAGAGGAGTAGCATCAAATATTACATGCAATTTTCCTTGGAGCATTTGCCAACTTGTAAAATGCACACGCTTGGCGTGAGGCACTGTGAAGTACAGGCAAAGGATTTGTCCAGTTCACAGTGCTGGGAAAGCAATTTTAGAGGCCCCATCCCACAAAAAAAGAAGGGCCTCAGGAAAAAAACCTCAGTTGAGGATCTTAAAGAGCTAATCTTAACAATAAGAGCAATATCATAAAAAATAAGGGTCACGTTTAAAAGTAAAGGCAGAGTAGAATTAGAGCAGGAATCACTAAACCTGAACTGCACAATAGGCTATATGAAGATGATCTGGCCAGACTCTAGCAGCTTTCTGGAATTACATTAAATTCTCTTTGGAAGAAGATAATATCACGTGTGTGTGTGTGTGTGTGTGTGTGTGTGTGTATATATATATATAAAGATTAGATATAGATATAGATATAGATAAAATAAAATTTAATTTATATATATAAATTGAATATATATATATAATTTAACTTATATATATAAATTGAATATATATATATATATTTAATTTACAAAATCCAGCTTAAAAAATAATTGGTCATGGCAGGAAATAGGACAAAAAAGCTCCCAAAAAGAAGAAAAAATAAAGGAAAAGGAAAAGCAATAGTAAAACACCCAGAGGAGATTCTGTTGTCAGACATAAAACTTGAATATCAGTATAATTAATGCGTTTACAAAGTAGCGAAAAAGGTGAATGCAAAGTAGAGAAAAAGATGAACCACAATCTGTTAAATAAATGCAAATGTTAGAAGAAAAATATATATTAAGAAAGTAATATAAGTTTTAGTAGTGGTTTAGGTATCACAGAACCAAATGTTAGTGAGCTAAAAGACAGTTCAGCAAGAAATACCGAGGTTGAAACACAAAGAATACAGAAAATTTTAAAATACAGAAAATATCATGAGATGTCAAATACAACATGATGAAAAGTTCTGAACTTTGTGTGATTAGAACTCGAGAGGAAAGACAAAAGAGAAAAACAGTAATATTAAAAGAGAATGAAGGGCAATCATTTTGAGACAGCTTTAAAAAATTAAAAATAATTTTTAAAAACCCAGAAAGCCTCTCCTTCAAACAGCTTTCAAAATACCCCAATAGAAATAAAAGAACACACACACATATTATTGGTGTAGTTAAGAATTTGAAAACAAGGGAAAATTTGAAAAGCAACTGTATAAAACTCATGTTTCCTTCAAGAGTGAGATAGACTGCCAACGAACTTTCAGAAACAGTGGAAAGTAGAATATAAAAAAAATTGAAAATGCCAGGCTGGGCTTGATGGCTCATGCCTGTAATCCCAGCACTTCGGGAGGCTGAGGCGGGCGGCTGATGAGCTCAGGAGTTTGAGACCAGCCTGGCCATCATAGTGAAACCCCATCTCTACTAAAAATACAAAAAATTAACTGGGCGCAGTGGCTGGCGCCTGTAATCCCAGCTACTCGGCAGACTGAGGCAGGAGAATTGCTTGAACCTGGGAGGCGGAGGTTGCAGTGAGCCGAGATCACGCCACTGCACTCCAGCCCGGGGGACAGTGCGAGACTCCATCTCAAAAAACAACAACAAAAATGAAAATCGCAATAAAGGAACTCATTTTAGAATCTTATTCATGATGAAATTTTCTTCAAAAATAAAAAAAGGCACTTATAAATAAACAAAAATCAGAGAGATTAATCCAGGGAAGGACGCATTAAAAGACATGAAAAGATATTATTAAGCAGGTAAAAAGATAAGAATATTCACTGCTTAAACAATATGTTGTGGAGTTGAAAATATGTATAGAAATCATGTACACAAAAATGGTAGCACAAAATTCAGTAAATGGAGCTGAAGTTGTAAGGTCCTTGCATTGTCCAGGTAGTGGTATAAGTATTGATTTAAGGTAAAGTCTGAGAAATCAAAAAAAGCATATAAAAATCTAGGTTGACCACTAAAAAATTAACTATAAGATCATAGAAGAAAATAAATTAAATAATATCAAAATCTTAAACAATACAAGAATGAGAAAAAAGTAACAGTGAACAGATGGGATAAAGAGGAAACAGTAGTAGGATAATAGATTTGAAACTGAACAAATCAGTAATTGTATTATGTGTATACAAACAGAAAGCTCTAGTTAAAGTTTTTCAACTTGAAAAAAACTCATCTTGATAGATGACATGTAATAAAATCATTAAAGAAATCTAGTGTAGTTATATTAATATCATACAACTTGAATTTAAAGGCCAAGGACTATTAAAAATATTGACATTTCATCAAAATACTCAATTCACCAAAAATTTTCAGTTCACTAAAATTTGTAATAATTCTAGATTTGTATGCTGCTAATAACATGT
The DNA here is from genome assembly GCF_000001405.40 of Homo sapiens. NCBI lineage: Eukaryota > Metazoa > Chordata > Mammalia > Primates > Hominidae > Homo > Homo sapiens. The sequence continues at coordinate 104,588,412 of NC_000011.10, forward strand.
ACTCAAAGTACATAAAATAAAAATAAAATAAAACTTTAAAAAAGATTGAATCATATTACAACCTAAGTAAATATTAGAACAAGGAGAAAATAAGTCATTAAGGATAAGAGAGAATAACAACCCTCACAAAGCCTGACATAGTGGTAGAAGACTGTAACAAAAAAGCCGAAGACTATATTTTTAAGTGTACGTGAAACTGTTTCCACAACAGACTGTATCCTGGGCCAGAAAGAAAATCTCAACATATGTCATAGGACTGAAACTATTAAGAGTGTGTTTTCTTTGTGCATTTATGCAAGAAAGCAACAGAAAAATAATACTTGAAAAGGTTCAAATATTTATAAATTAAGCAATAATCTTCAAAATAACCAAATGAGTCAAAGATACTAAATTATGTACCTATAGGATGCAGTTAAATCTGTGCTTAGTGAGAAATGTATAGGCTTAAATGCTTCTAATCGACAAAAGGAAACATTCTTAAATTGGTAACCTATGTGTTCATTTCATGAAGCTAGAAAAAAATCCAGCAAATTAAATGTAAACAAACCAATAAAGAATAATTTAGAGCAGAAGTCAGTGAAACAGACAACAAATGGACAATGAGGAAAAATGAATAAAGCCAAAAGTTATTTTTTTGGAAAAGACTAACTTGGTAGATATGAAAATGTTTAGTGTGAATTCCCTTCAAAGGTCTTTCTTTTCAGCTGTCAGAAGTGTGGTGAATAGAAAGCATCCAGCTGTCAGCTCCTTCAAAGTCAGCCTCAGCGGTATAGAGAGCTGTTTGCTTTAGAGCATGGCTTTCCAAGGGAATCTCATATCTGATAGAAGCAGACATATAAAATCTGTCAAATTTCAAGCTGATATGGGTTAACTCTTGGGAAACTATTGCTACAGCACTCCCTGCCATGTTAGCAAAGGTCTTGGCAGGCAAGCATCATAATGTGGATTTCTAATAAACTATAATTCAAATTGGAACTGGGAATGGTTCAAGCAAGCAGGTAAGAATGTGGATTGTTTTTGAAGTTGGGTTTTGAAGTTGAATCATTCTCCACCTGTCTGGTAATAAGGATCCCCACACTGAAGAGAGGTGGAGTACAAATGGGCCTAGTGTAAGATGGTGGTTCAGTCATTAACCCTATCACTGGTAGTGAATTAAGAAGGTGTATTAATGAAAAGAAATGTGCTGATTAATCCTATGCATTAGGTGTTTGAGATGAATGGAAGAAATGCTATATGGATAACATGCTTGCTTGACTATAGTTAAATGTCATTGATGTTCCACAGAGAAGTTATGAGGAGCTGAGGAGAGTACTAGACAATTTAAAGTCAGGTGTGAAAGCTTCTTCTTCAGTGACAGGTAGATAAATCCAGGGACAAAGCTGTAGACTTAACAGACAGAGAGATCAACTTCAAAGACAATTAAATGCTCATCAAGGCTCTTCTCTCATGTTAAGGTAAGGGCTCCAGTAGGAAAATCCTAGAATGCTGGCACATTAGATGGAGAGGCCTGGGTGTATGCCATGAATCTTTCTGACTTCTCAAAGCCCTACTGAGTCTATAAAAATGACACTCCCATGAAGAGCTAGAATGCTCTAATACTCACTTCTTGTGTTGGTTAATAATTCAGAGGCTCTTTCCTGTAAGTCATCATGTGTGCCCCTCAGGATCTGCTCCCACGTCCCATCATGCCCACTGCTGCTATAACTGTGTTACGTTGTAGCATAACTTAGCTGGTTTTATAGTCAAAAGGAGCCACGTAAAATAGACATCATACACCAGCAAGTCCAGGGGGAGCATAAATGGGGTTGGATTCTGAGGGTGCTTAATCAAGGGGAATGAGTATAAAATAGGATAGGTAAGAGTTTCTTGACTTGTAAATACTCTCCTATGATGTAGAATTTAACATCCAGGCAATGATCCCAGGATATGGGGCAAACTAGAATGTCAACTAAAGGCACGTAAAAAGCAATGGACTATGCTGAATGAAGTCAAAGGGCTAAAAACTGGAGAAGTAGAAAAGGGAAAGGAATAAAAATGCTCTTGGAAGTGGGCAGGCGGGAAGTAGATACAGCATATATAGTCAGCAGGTCTAGCCAATGGGTATGGTATGCTTCATGGAAAGGCCCAGAGGATGTATTATTTATAAGGGCTATGAGGAATAACCTGGTGAGACAGGCACCAGCAACACTAAAACTTGTAGTATTGCCTTTACTTTGTGAACTATGACTGTTAGTTGGATAAACTAAAATGTGGCTTTCTGATAGCAGTGGGGTTAATAGGACCCACCTACACTTCAAAAAAAAAAATAGACGATAGGTGGTGGAGTTAACCACTAAATTTAATAGGTTACAATTATCTTATTATCCAGCAAGTTATAGTTGAAGTCAAGAGATCTGACCCACAGAGGATTATGAATTGGTAGATATTTATATAGTTATGGCACATGGCATCTCTATAGCAAGACAGATAGGTGGGCAACAAGGATATTACTCAGCTTGTACCAGCAGAAGAAATCAAGGATGGATGACCAGGAGGCTGAGGGTAGTTACCTCAATAAAAAAACATACCTTCCTCAATTCTCTAACCTGAGTCTGTTTCCTGTTCTCAAATCATTTGACCAAAAATAAAATTAGATCCTCCCAAGAGAAAGGAAGCTGCAACAACACAGTGAGTCTATTCCACAATGACTCTCATTCCTTCGCCGAAGGGATCCATAGCCAGTTATTCGAGTTAAACAATAAACTTGGAAAAAGGCATTATTCAAATACTTGTAGGACTACTGGACACAGGTCTTAATTGACATTGATGCCTGGAGATCCAAAGCATAATAATCATAGTACCATAGATGAGAGCTGGGTCATATGGGGCCACTAAGGTGTTCAATACATGTATGGGTGGATAAATATTTGTAAAAGTACCTGGCCTACATTAAAAATAAGAATCAACAAAGGCTAGTTAAATCTGTTAGCTGAATGCCACCAAGAAGCATAGATGAGCAAGATATCAGAGCAATATTTGTTTTAGGAATATAGGATTGGCTTGACTTTTGCAATTATTTGCTTTCATAATTACTTTTTAACCTAGGCTAACATTAAAATTAGTTATTATTCCCAAGGGCATAATGAATGCCAGTAAACAATGTCAAGGACAATTTTCTCAGAGCAGAAAATAAAGTAATACTGCAGTTGATTATTCATATGCAGATACTAGAGAGTTAGCTACCAGACAATGGTGATCAATAATAAAAAGAAATGTTGAGTTATTTCGTTCTGTGCAGATGACAGCTGCCCATAAGCTGTTGCCAAATCAGCACTCATAGAACATGGATACAGCCCCAGTATAATTTCTAAGCCCAGAGATTGGAAAAGTGACCACCTGCCCCTCTGCAATGCAGTGGAATTTTTCAGGACAGGTAAATTTGTCGAAATCTATATACTGCCACAATATTTAGATTGATTTATAAATTTCTCAAATAGTCATATGTTAGAAATGAAGAATTTTAATATTCTTCTTATGTGACCCTGTCATGATATAATCCAGTACAGTTGGTCTAGAGATGCTCTGGAATTATAAACAAAAGTCCAGAATCAGGTAGCATCCAAAGCCTTCAGGCATTTTTAATTTTACTGCACAATCCTACTCTAACTGCTGTTGCCAGAAAGGGTCGCCATAGGGTGTGATTTAGCATAATACTGATAGCCACAGTGCTCTAAAGGCTGAACACAGAGGGAAAATCCAGGAAGTAGCCTGGTTCAAGTAGGTCTCAATAACTGAGCCAGATTTTGTGTAAAGTTGGACATTATAAATGGTTCTTTGGGACATTTTCCCTTTTACTTCTGAAATGTTTTTCTTTTGTTCCTGAAAGTCAGATCAGATGCTCATTTAAAGAACTTTGCTATACATACGTGATCTTTTGAGGTTTCAGGGAAAGTGAATTCATTCTTTTAATATGCTTCTGTGGGCAGATTTTGGAGAGCAATGAAAATAATTTCATTCTCAAAGTATGCTGAAAATTTTATACAATAATGTGTTTTGATCTGGGGAAGAAAAGTTCAATTAAAATTATAAAAATAATACAATTGGAGCACTGAAAAATAGTTTCTTGTCAATGAATATTTCAAGACCATAATATTTCTTGAAATATTTTTATTTATAAATTAACCCAAAGGGATATGTTAGTTATAATAATATTAGACTTGCTCAAAAATTAATTTAAATATCAAAGTATATTTTATTAAAGTACTTGTAAAATAATCATTATACCTATGAGTAAGCAATTAGACAATTTTAATCTCAAACTGAAAACCTCAAAATTTACCTCTGCTAGCTTGTATTACCTTCTAGCATTCTCTAAGCAGTACTGATCTTGCTTTCAGATATGGTAACTATCCTCTCCCCACAATTTCATTGAACAAAATCCTAAGACTGTTCTGATTCACTAAGAAATCAATTCCCTCTCTCTCTCTTCTACTTGAAACTGTAGTCAAATCACTGTGTTAAAATTCTAGATTGACACCTTGGGAGGCCGAGGTGGGTGGATCACTTGAGCTCAGGAGTTCAAGACCAACCCAGCCAACATGGTGAAACCCTGTCTCTACTAAAAATAAAGATATTAGCCAGGTATGGTCACGCACGCCTGTAATCCCAGCTACTCGGGAGGCTGAGGCAGGAGAATCACTGGAACCCAGGAGGCAGAGGTTGCAGTGAGCCAAGATTGTGCCACTGCACTCCAGCCTGGGTGACAGAGTGAGACTTCGTCTCACAAAAAAACAAAATTCCAGATTCACTTTGTTAATCAACGTTTATTGGGGGCCATTGTTTTGGACTAGCCTCCTACATGAGGCTCCAGTAGACCAGGAGGGAGTCATTTGTGCTAAGGGCCACATGAGTCAAACTAAACTTTCAAAAGAGCCAGTTTTTGGGAAAAAAAAAAAAAAAAGCAAAAACATAAAAACAAACAAGAAATTCTAGTCAAACTGGGAAATTGGGGAAGCTTAATAAGGAAGACTTCTCTTTTTTTTTTTTTTTTTTTTGAGACAGAGTTTGGCTCTTGTTGCCCAGGCTGGCGTGCAGTGGCACCATCTCGGCTCACCGCAACCTCCACCTCCTGGGTTCAAGCGATGCTCCTACCTCAGCCTCCCGATTAGCTGGGATTACAGGTGCATGCCACCACACCTGGCTAATTTTTTGTACTTTTAGTAAAGACAGGGTTTCACCATGTTAGTCAGGCTGGTCTCAAACTCCCAACCTCAGGTGATCCACCCGCCTTGGCCTCCCAAAGTGCTGGGATTACAGGCGTGAGCCATCACGCCCAGCCTAAGACTTCTCTGTTTTAGCCCTATAAAATAGTTTTGAAATGACCAATCTTTTTTATTTTTGTTTTCTATGTTTTCTTTCTTTGGTTCTTTCCTGCCCATAAAGCCAACCTCTTTTGCTTAACTCATCAGAACATTCATTCTGCTTTATACAATGAAATTTTGCCCAATTCTAGAATTGCAATAAAATCCAACTTGACATTTAATCTAAATTTGTTGTAATTTTCTCTTTTAACAATTCCTAGGGAAACTGAGATTATGAGAGCTAGAGACTATTTTAGAGGTGATCTAATCTAATAATTTCCAATTGTTTTATTTCTCAAAGTTTGTCTTTTGTTTTTTTTTTTGAGACAGGGTCCCGCTCTGTCACCCAGCATCGAGTGCAGTGGTGCAATATTGACTCACTGCAGCCTCGAGCCCCAGAGCACAAGAAATTCTCCCACCTCAGCCTCCCTAGTAGCTGAGACCGCTTGTGTGTGTCACCACGTGTGGATAATTTTTGTTTTTATTTTTTGTAGAGACAAAGTCTCACTATGTTCCCCAGGGTGGTGTTGAACTCCTGAGCTCAACTGATCCTCCTGCCTTGGCCTCCCAAAGTGCTAGGATTACAGGTGTGAGTCACTGTGACTGGTCTCAAGGTTTGTCTTTAATAAATAAAAAATACAATCTTTGCTAGCATTGAGGAACTACATGATCTTGTCTTCAAAACCTCCTATGACTCATCCTCAAATAGATTTTCTAGGAAGCCCTCAAATAGATTTTCTAGGAAGCCACCCAGACAGCTAGAATTCATGACATTTTATGTTAAAATATATAAAAACAAGTTCACAAATGTTGGATTCATTGGCTTTTCAGAATTCACTGAACTGCCAGGTATTATGCCTTTTTTAAAAAAAAGAACCAGAACTTGTGAGTACTTTAGTAGACTTCATTTATTTTCAAATGGTTCCTTCAGTTGGACACCAATGTGAGTAAACCACCCCTTTTCTCCCCAGTGAACCACTGCTGCTAAGACTCTCACTGTTGAAGTTTTGCGCTTGTTTACTATTTAACCCACACCATGCAGTTCTCTTCCTCATTATAATGTGATTATTTCACAGTGGTGTCATGTTTTCATAGTGATGCAAGGTTGAGTCTGCACAGCGGTGTCATAAATAGAACATTCTACCATCTTTAACATCAAGTTAAATATAAGTATAAATGGAGATTGCCACAATTCTGAAAGTAAGGCACCTGATTCAGTCTTTAATGCATTCCTTATCACTCAATGTGTTCTTACGTATTAATGAATATGTGGCCAGTAGAGAGAAGCATGGGATAAATGCCATGGTACCTGCAATTTGTTTTTTTTAATTCAAATGTACTTTCATTAATGAAAAATTTTTATATTCACTTACCACATTTATAAAACGTTTCACATATATTGCCCATCTTCTTTAGAAAAGATTTCATTAAATATCTAAACTAAATCAGATCTTCCTATCATATGCTAATATCATATCCTATAATTTTCCTTCTTAGCAATTATCATATTTTATAATTACATAATGGTGTGATTGCTTGATGAATGCCTGTCTTCTATATTAGACTCTAAATTGCAGTATAGCAATTATTAGTTTTCGTGAGCATCGTGGCTATCCTTAGCACCTACAGTGCTTGGCACACAGAAAATAATAGGCGTTTGTAGAATAACTATATTTAAAAATAAATTATTTTCTTATATGAGCTCCTGCTAATTGATAACAAAACTCTTACCCAAAAAGTCACAGCAAGCCTTCAGAGTTCTCAGCACAACCTTCCAGAGTCACTGCCAATTAAAATGGTCAGACATATTAAAACTTATTTGTCGTTCTTGACCTTTCTACTTATCTAGAACACCATTTCTTAAAATTCCTTCCTGATAATAGTCACCTTCAGGGCTTATTAGAAAAAACATATTCCCAGGATCCTCCCCTAGAGATTCTGATTCAGTGAGCTTGAGATTAGACCCAGGGATTTTTTAACAAGCATCCCAGGTAATTGGTATTATCAGTGGAACTGGAAAACACTGATATAGACATGCTTTACAAATTTGTCTAAACATAAGATTTATCTGCTAATTCAATTAAAAGAAAAAAATACCTAGCCATACCCCAGGACTTCTAAATTAGAATGTATAGAGAAATTGGGAATCTGGATGTTTAACAAACACCATGTGATTCTGTTGATTAAATGTGAGAGACTTAACTATCTATTACTTAACTGTATGTAACTTCTGTTTTGTGAGCTTAGATGTAGCTTTTTTTAAGAGTAGAACAAAGTTAAATCTTTGAAATAAGGAAAAATATGTTTTGCATGAATATGATAAGTTGAATACATGCATTATCTCAATCTTTATCCTTAAGCCCAATTAAAATATTATAAAATTGATTTTAAAACTCACAAGGGTAAGAAGAACAAGGGAAAACATGCCAGCTGAATCCAGAAATCACAACTTAAAAAGTACACGAATAGCAAGAATGATTTGGGTTTCAGCATTCACACCCTTGCTAAGGGCTTGCAGGAGAAAACCACAAGAATCAAGCTAACTGGGTCCACAGATTCCCAGTGAGTCTCATTAATTGGAGGCTCAAGTACAGATCTTCCATGTACTGCATTTGGGATAGAAGTGTGGAACCGTAAACAAACAAACAACAAACCATCACCACCAATACCACCACCACCACCACCACCACCACCAACAACAACAACAACAACAACAGACCAGGAGGAAGAGTTGCAAATACATCTATGAAATAGCTGTACCTTCAAAACTTCTGGCTCACTACCCCTTCCCATTCTAACAGAAGGCGGCAGACTTACCGCCAGGAGAGTTTGAGTAAATCAAGTACAGTGGAATGCAATAGAGAAAACAAAACGGGTAGACTAAACAAATTTACAGGCAAGAATGAAAGAAAAAAAGCAGAAATGATTAAGGTCAGTCATCTCATCAATGAGCCACTGCACTAGCTCTGAAGTCCCAACTTTCAGATTTCTTGTACAACCAAAATCACTAAATGTCTTTGATGCTTAGTCTACTATTTTCTTTCTTTTTTGAACTCCCAGAAACACTCTCCACCAGGCTTATAGTACCCTATGCAGGTAAGTAAATGACTGTTATCTTTATAAATCAGATTGATAGAAGGGACAGAGATAATGTCAAGTGGATATTTTCTTTAAAAAGAAAAATGAACAAATAAGAACACCTGTAACCTATACCCTTTGATTACCAGATAGTCAACACACTAGTGAAAGAATCTGTCAGCCACACACACGAGAAGAAATAGACTACCTGAATGGGCCTATGTTTATTAAAGAAATTGAATCAACAATTAATAACCTTCCAAGATACCACCCCATATATATTCACGGGTGAATTCTACCAAACACTGAAGGAAGAAACAATACCAATTCTCTGCAAACTTTTTGAGAAGATAGAAGCATAAGGAATACTTCCTACTTTCATTCTATGAGGACAGCATCTCCCTAAAACCAAAATTAGACAATGACATTATAAGACAAGGAAACTAACTACAGATCAATGTCGCTCATAATCATAGATGGAAAAATCCTCAACAAAATTTTAGTAAATTGAATTTTTAAAAGTACAAAAAGGATAATATACATGATCAAGAGGAATTTACCCCAAGTGTGCAAGGCTGATTCAACAGTCAAAAATCAATTAATGTTATCCATTACAATAAGATAAAGAATTAAAATCACATGATCATATTAATATATGCTGAAAAAGCATTTGATGAAATTCAATACTCACTCATGATAAAAAAAAAAAACCTCAGTAAACTTAGAGGGAAAGTTCCTCAAATTGGTAAGAATAGCTGCAAAAAATCTATAGCTAACATACTTAATAGTGCAAAGCTAGATTTTCCACAAGATGAGGAACAAGGCAGGATATCTCCTGTCATGACTACTTTTCAAAATCATACTGGAAGTTGTAGCTAATGCAATAAGACAAAAAATAAAATAAAATAAAATGTTTGTGGAGGGAGGGAGCAGTGCAGGGCACAGTAGCTCATGCCTGTAATCCTAGCACTTTGGGAGGCCAAGGGAGGCAGATTGCTTCAGCCCAGGAGTTTGAGACTAGCCTGGGCAGCATGATGAAATCCCATCTCTACGAAATAATACAAAAACTATCCAGGCATGGTGGTGTATGCCTCCAGTTCCAGCTACTTGGGAAGCTGAGGCAGGAGGATCACTTGAGCCTGGGAGATCAAGGTTGCAGTGAGCTGCAATCGCATCACTATACTCTCACCTGAGTGAATGAGCAAGACCCTGTCTCAAAAAAAGAAAAAAAAAAAGCTATACTGATTGGTAAGGAAGAAATAAAACTGTTTTTGTTCACAGATGGTATGATTGTTTATGTAGAACATCTTGAGATTCTTGAAAGTCAATTCTTGAAAGCCTCAACAAGAATAAAGAAACACCTTCTAAAACTAATAAGAAATGATAGCAAGGTTGTAGGATATAAGGTGCAAGATCAATACACAAAAGCCAATTAACATTCCTTTATGCCAGCAACGAACAAGTAGAATTTGAAATTAAGAACACAATGCCATTTCCATTGGCACCCACAAAAGGAAATACTTATGCATAAATCCAACAAAGTATGTGTAATATCTATATCAGAAAAACTGTGTTGAGGTATAGAAAACAGTATAACAAAACAAATGGAGAGATATTCCATATTCATGAATAGCACCCACAAAAGAAAATACTTATGCTTAAATCTGACAAAATATGTACGATATCTATATCAGAAAACCTGTGTTGAGGTATAGAAAACAGTATAACAAAACAAATGGAGAGATACTCCATATTCATGAATAGCAAGATAATATTATCAAGATGTCAGTTCTTGATTTGATTTATTGATTGAATGCACTCCCAATTAAAATCTTAGATAGTTGTTTTGTTGATATCAACAAACTTATTCTAACATTTATATAAAAAAGCAAAAGACCCACAATAGCCAGCACAGTATTGAAGGAGAAGAACAAAGTTGGAAGCCTGATACTACCCAACTTCAGGACTTACTATAAAGCTATATTAATCAAGACTGTGTGGTACTGATGAAGGGACAGACAAATAGATCAATGGAACATAACAGAGAGCCCATAAATAGACCCACATAAGCATAGTCAACTGATCTTCGACAAAAGAGCAAAGTCAATACAAAGGAGAAACCATAGTCTTTTCAACAAATGGCACTAGAACAACTGGACATTCACATGCAAAAATGCAAAAATGCAAAAAAAAAATTTTTGCATTCACATGCAAAAAATGAATCTGGACATAGACCTTACTCTTCACAAAAACTAACTTAAAATGGACACAAACCTAAAGGTAAAACACAAAGCTATAAAACCACCAGAAGATAACAGAGAGGAAATCTAGATTACCTTGGGTTTGGCTATAATTTCTTTAGATATAACACCAAAGGCATGACAAATAAAAGAATGTATTGATAAACTAGACTACAACTAAAATTTTCTAGTCCATGAAAGACACTGTCAAGAGAATAAAAAGACAAGACTGGGACAGAATAGTTGCAAAAGACGCACCTGATAATACTTTTATCCCAAATACACAAATAACTCTTAAAACTGTACAATAAAAAATATAATTAAAAAATAGACCAAAGATATTAACAGAAACTTCACCAAAGAAGATATACAAATGGCAAATAAGCATATGAAAAGATACTCCAGGAGTCCTGGCATGTGGCTTATACCTATCAATCACAGCATTTTGGGAAGCTGGGGCAGGTGGACTACTGAAGGCTACGAGTTCAAGACTGGACTGGACACAAAGGAAGACCCTGTCTCTAGAAAAAAAAAAATAGCCAGACATCAGATGGCATGTGCTTGTAGTCCCAGCTACTTGAGAGGTTGAGGTAGGAGGATGGCTTGAAACCAGGAATTAGATGTTTCAGTGAGCTATCACTGCACTCCAGCCTGGGTGACAGGGTGAGACCCTGTATCCAAAAAAAAAAAAAAAAAAAAAAAAAAAAAAAAAGAAAAGAAAAAGAAAAGAAGAGAGAAAGAAAAGGAAAGATACTCCACACCCACATCATATGCCATCAGGGAAATGCAAATTAAAATGTTAGGGAGATACCATTACTTACCTGTTAAAGTGGCCAAAATTTGGAACACTGAGAATACCAAATACAGATCATTTCTTACTTACAATGGTTTGACTTAAGATTTTTTTTTTACTTTATTATGGTGTGAAAGTGATATACATTCAGTACACTCCTCAATTTCTGATGGGGTCATGTCTGGACAAATCCATGGTGAGTTGAATATACTCTCAGTCAAAAACACACATTCGACTTATATTTTCAACTTATCACAGGTTTATCCAGACATAACCCTATCATAAGTCAAGGAGCATCTCTACAGATGAGGATGCAGAGAAACAGGAACTCTTCATTCATTGCTGGTGGGAATGCCTCTTTGGGAGACAGTTTGGCAGTCTCTTACAAATCTAGACATATCGTTACCATATGAACCAGTACTTGTGCTCCTTGATATTTACCAGAAGAAAATGAAAACATACATCCATTGAAAAACCTGCACATGGATTTGTATGGCAGCTTTATCCATAATTTCCTGAAACTGGAATAAATCAAGACGTTAAGTAGGTGAATAAACTGCGTTACATCTAGACAATGGAATATTATTCAGTGCGAAAAAGGAATGAGCTATCAATCCATAAAAAGACATGGAGAAAACTTAAATGAATATTACTAAGTGAAAAAAGCTAGGCTTAAAAGGTTACATATTCTATGATTCCAACTATATAACATGCTAGAAAATGCCAAACTTTGGAGACAGTAAAATGATTAGTGTTTTCCAGGGATTAGGAAGAAGGAAGGGATGAATAATCAAAGCACAGAGGATTTTTTTAGGGTGGTGAAAATTCTCTGTACAATGCTATAATGATGGATGCACATTATTATACATTTGTCAAAACACATGGAATGTACAACTAATATCGAGAATCTACAAAGAACTCAAACAAATAGGTAAGAAGAAAACAAACAATCCCATCAAAATGCATATGGAAAAGTACTCAACATCAGTATCAGGAAATGCAAATTCAAAACCACAATGTGATACCACCTCACCCCTTCAAGAATGGCCATAATCAAAACATCAAAAATAATCAATGTTGTCATGGATGCGGTGAGAAAGGATCACTTTTACACTGTTGGTGGAAATGTAAACTAGTACAACCACTATAGAAAAGAGTGTGGAGATTCCTTAAAGAACTAAAAGTAGATCTACCATTGATCCAGCAATCCCACGACTAGGTATCTACCCAGAAAACAAAAAGGTCATTTTACAAAAAAAGATACTTACACATGCACGTTTATAGCAGCACGATTTGCAATTGCAAAAATAGGGAGCCAGTCCAAATGTCCATCAGTCAAAGAGTAGATAAAGAAAATGTTGTATATGTGTGTGTGTGTGTGTGTGTGTGTGTGTATATATATATATGTACTGTGGAATACTACTGAACCATAAAAAGGAACAAAATAATGGCACTCACAGCAACGTGGTTGGAATTGTAGGCTATTATTCTAAATGAAGTAACTCAGGAATGGAAAACCAAACATCACAAGTTCTCACTCATATGTGAGAGCTAAGCTATGAGGAAGCAAAGGCATAAGAATGACACATTGGACTTTGGGGACTCAGGTTAAAGGGTGGGGCGTGGCCAGGAATAAAAGACTATACATTGGGTACGGTGTACACCATTTGGGTGATGGGTGCACCAAAATCTCAGAAATCACGACTAAGGTACTTATTCATGTAACCAAACACTACCTGTTCCCCAAAAACCTATTGAAATAAAAAAATAAAAAAATTTAATAAAAACACAAGGTAGAACATGACATGCAGATTAGTAATGACATAAGAGATATGGCTTTCATGTTGTGTGGAAATTAGACACAGCTTTGTGAGAGAAAAAAATAGAGTGATCTGCTTTTCTTTCTTAGCACCTTAAAACTTATGTCTCCAAAGGCTCAAAGAAGCAACTTTCTCTTCCTTATAAGAAAGTAAAGGGATGTTATTCTAGATGAGTTCTCTGAGAATTGTTCTCCTTTCCTTAGACAAAAAAGAACTTTCAAATATGGCTAGAACACACAAAGCGTGGCTGCATTAGTTCAGTACCTCTCAGGTTGGCATATGCATATCTAAAAACTAAGACTCCTGGGTGGAAATAAATGGCCTATGTTCTTCTCATGGTAGAGCACATACCTACAACCGTGTAATATATTTTACATGACACAGGAATCCTCGTAAGGATGTGAAAACTAAAACTGTTTAACTTGGGTATGAAATTGATTCGAACAATACAGGTTTGAATTGTACAGGTCCACTTAGACATGGAAATTTTTTCAACAAATATATTAGAAAACTTTTTAGAGATTTGCAAGAATTTGAAAGACTCCCAGATGAACTGCATAGCCTAGAAATATCAAAAAAAAAAAGAGAAAAGCTATGTCAAAAACGAAAAAAATCATACGTAGATACTAGTCCATTTCATCAATTCCCACAAGATGTACACAAATCTATTGCAAAAAATAAAATTTATCAAAACTTACGCTCACACTTACAGACCATATGTAGCACAGCTATATGCAGTTGAGAGAAATGTAAGCAAACATAAAAATGCGATATTAAATCTTAACTGCATAAATTGTGTGTAGTACAATATGTACTACTGTAATATCTTTACAGTCATCTCCTCTTGTTATTAATAATGTTGAGCTCTAGTGCTGCAAGTATCTGCTTAAAATGCTGGGAGAGGTGAATCATCTTTCAATAAGCAGTTGATCTATCCAGTAAATTGTGTATTGCAGTAAAAAGCGATGTTTTGCAGTTCTCATGTATTTTTCATCTTGTTTAGTGCAATGCCTTAAACCTTTAATAACAGGGACCCGCACAAAGTGCCACTAGTCCCACTAGATCTGCTGGAGGTGCCCCTAAGAAGTGGAGAAAAGTCATGGAATTTTAAGCAAAAGTTGAATTGCTTGACATGTACTGTAGATAGAGATCTGCAGCTGCCTTTGCTCATCATTTCAGACAGACGATTCATCTTGTAAACACATGAGGTAAACTTACGGCATAAGCAAAACATACAGTACTGTAAATGTATTTTTTCTTTCTTATGATTTTCTTAACAATATTTTGTTTTTTCTAGTTTACTTGATTGTTAGAATACAGTATATTATACATTAACATACAAATTACATGTTAATCAACTCTATATTATCGGCAAGGCTTCTTCTGGTCAACAGTAGGCTATTAGTAATTAAGTTGGGGGGAGTCAAAGGTTATATGCTGTTTTTCTATTGTGTAGTGAGTTAGTGCTTCTAGCAACCCCATGTTGTTCACGGGTCAACTGTATTTTATAGTAGGTTTGATGAAAAGTGGATATACTGGACAAAGGGGATGTGATCTAATAATAATAAACTGGGGGAAGCTGAGTAAGACTTGTTAATTCAGGTACTTCTCTGTGACCCTTCATCTTCAGAGAGAAGGAGGTTTCTTTCCTTGAGGTACAGGGAGGGCAACTCTCACATGAGAATCTTACGACCTGCTTAAGAGAAGAAGGGTGAGGGTTGGGGGTAAGTTCAGAGTAACAAGTCTGCGTCTACTCTTTTCTTCAATATGCCAAGGTGCAATATTTGAGATAGTGTTTCCTGAATCTCATTATACGTTGTTTTGCATATCATTAGTTCATTCCTTTTTCTTTCTGAGCAGTAATTCATTATGCTGAAATTTGTTTACACATTCATCTATTGATGGAAATTTGGGTTGTTTCCAAGTATTGTGGATTACATATAATGTCACTATGAACAACCTTGTCTGTGGACAGGTTTTCACTTATCTTGTGTAAATACCTATGAATGAAATAGATTGCTTCACATCTTTCACAACACTTGGTGGGGTCAGTTTTTTAAAATTGTACACATTCTACTAGATGTGTAGAGATATCTCATTCTAAATTTAGATTCCGTTTCCCTAATGGTTAATAATTTCAGCATATTTGTATGTGCTTATTTGGCATCCATGTTGTTTTTAAAGAGTCATTTCAAAATTTTGCCCTTAATTTAATACATTTTTTGTTTGTTTCTTATTTTGAAAGTCTTTATATAGTCAACATACAAATCATTTACTAACTATGTGAATTGCAAATATTTCCTTCTGGTCTGTGGCTTTCCTTTTCATTCTCTTAGCAGTATCTTTTGATCAACAAACATGCTTAATTTTGATGGCACATAATTTATTAATCTTTTTCTCATATATATTTGTGGCTTTAGTGGTTTTATATAGGAAATCTTTGCCTAACTCAAGATAACTGTTATCTTCTAGGAATTTTAATAGTTTTAAGTTTTTTGTACATGATGCAAGGTATAGATTAAAGTTCTTTTATTTTTTCGCATGTGAATATACAATTGATCCAACATCGTTTTCGTAAAAGACTATTCTGTCTTCACTGAATTGTCTTTGTACTTTTGTTGAAAATCAATTTCTGGATTCTTCAATGTGTTCCATTTATCCATTTGCCTATCTTGATGCCAATATCATACTTTCTTGATTAATGCAGCTTTTATAGTATGCATTGAAGTCAGCTTGTGTAAGTCATTCAGCTATGTTCTTTTTCAAAGTTATTTGAGCTATTCTAAGTTCTTTGAATTTCCATATGAATATTAGAATTAGATTGTCAGCCTCTATGAAACAAACTACTGGGATTTGACTGAAATTGGATTGAATATGGATCAATTTGTGAATTGCTATTTTAACAATATTGAGTCTTCTCATCTTCAAATACAGACTGTCTCTCTATTTATTTATATTTCATTTAATTTCTCTCATTAATGCTTTATATTGTTTACATTTTTCATTATATTTATCAGTTTTTTATGTATATTATTACAAATACTATTTTTATTTCACATTGTTTATTGTTAGTATATAGAAATACAATTTATTTATTGTATATAAAGTTTGCGCCTTGCAAACTTGCAAAGCTCACTTATTATTTCTAATAGTTTTTTTGTAGATGTCAGTTAATTTTCTACATAGATGATCATGTCTGGAAATAAAATGTTTGATTGTTTCCCAGCTGGGTGCAGTGACTCAAGCCTGTCATCCCAGCACTTTGGGAGCCCAAGGTGGGCAGATCATTGGAGGTCGAGAGTTCAAGACCAGCCTGTTCAACATGGTGAAACCCCGTCTCTACTAAAAATACAAAAATTTGCAGCGCATGATAGTACATGCCTGTAATCCCAGCTACTCAGGAGGCTGAGGCAGGAGAATTGCTTGAACTCGGGGGCGGGGGTTGCAGTGAGCCCAGATTGCACCACTGCACTCCGGCCTGGGTGACAGAGTTAGACTCTGTCTCAAAAAAAAAATCAAAACCACAATGAGATACTACCTCACACCAGTTAGAAAGGCAATCATTAAAAAGTCAGGAAACAACAGATGCTGGAGAGGATGTGGATAAATAGGAACACTTTTACACTGTTGGTGGGAGTGTAAATTAGTTCAACCATTGTGGAAGACAGTGTGGCAATTCCTCAAGGATCTAGAACCAGAAATATCATTTGACCCAGCAATCCTATTACTGGGTATGTACCCAAAGGATTATAAATCATTCTATTATAAAGACACATGCACACATATGTTTATTGCAGGACTATTCACAATAGCAAAGACTCGCAACCAACCCAAATGCCCATCAATAATAGACTGTATCAAAAAAATGTGAGACATACACCATGGAATACTATGCAGCCATAAAAAAGGGTGAGTTCATGTCCTCTGCAGGGACATGGATGAAGCTGGAAGCCATCATTCTCAGCAAACTATCACAGGAACAGAAAACCAAACACTGCATGTTCTCACTCATAAGTGAGAGTTGAACAATGAGAACACATGGACACAGGGAAGGGAACATCACACACCAGGTTCCGTCAGTGGGTAGGGGGCTAGGGGAGGGATAGCATTAGGAGAAATACCCAATGTAGATGATGGTTGATGGGTGCTGCAAATCACCATAGCACGGTATGCCTGCGTAACAAACCTTCACGTTCTGCACATCTATCCCAGAACTTAAATTATAATAATAATAAATTACTTGTTTTCCAATTTGAATGTATTTTATTTATTTTTCTTGCCTTAGTGCACTAACTAGATCCTCCTGTACAATGTTGAAAAGAGCAAATGAAGTTTTCTTGTTCCTTACCTTAGGAGAAAAGCATTTAACCCATAACACAAATATGATATTGTATGTAGGTTTTTATAAGTTCCTGTCTTTTTCTAATGTGCTGAGAGTTTTTATCAGAAATAGATGTTAAATCCGATTGTCTTAGTTTTTTTCTGCATCTATTTAGATTACTGTATATTTTTTCTTTTTAATCTGTTAACATGGTAAATTATATTGATAAATTTCAAATGTTAAACCACTTTTGCATTTTATGGGATAATACATATTTGGTAATGATGCGTTATGCTTTTTCCATATTGTTGGATTCTGTTTTTTTTTTTACATTTAGTTAAGAATTATTATATCTTATGTTCATGCAAAATATCGGTCTCTGATTTTATTTTATTTTATTTATTTTTGAGACGAATTTCACTCTTGTTACCCAGGCTGGAGTGCAATAGTGCGATCTCAGCTCACTTCAATCTCCGCCTCCTGGGTTCAAGTGATTCTTCTGCCTCAGCCTCCGGAGTAGCAGGGATTAAAAGCGCGTGCCACCATACCTGGCTAATTTTTGTATTTTTAGTAGAGATGGGATTTCACCATGCTGGCCAAGATATTCTTGATCTCCTGACCTTGTGATCCACCTGCCTCGGCCTCCCAAAGTGCTGGGATTATAGGCGTGAGCCACCGTGTCCAGCCGGTTTTCTTTTCTTAAAATGCTTTTTTTGTTTGTTTGTTTTAGTGTCAGAGTAATGCTAGCATCATTAACTGATTAGGAAAGTATTCCATACTTTTCAATTTTTGGAAGAGTTTGTATAGAATTAGCATAACTTTTTCTATCAATTATTGAGAGTGGGATATTGAAACCTTAAACTATTTTTTGAATATGTGTCTCCTTGCAGCTTTATCTATTTTCGTTTCATGTATTTTGAAGCTCTGTTACTACTTGCATAAATACTTCACAATGCTATATCCTCTTGATGAACTGACCCTTCTGGATGGTGAAGAAAAATAAAATATTCTTGGCCTAACCTGAGCTCCAAGAATTGTTCCCCTTAGTCCTTCCAGAGGTTCATTCTTCAGTTTCGAGTAGATTTCACCCACACGTGTGCAGATGAGTTCTCTCCTGAAACACTTGAGAAAGACCTGATAGAAATTGCCAGAGTTTTCTCCCCATGCAGCTCTCCCCTCGCTCATGCTCTGTGAACCCTAGCTGCTTTTGTCTGGGAACTCTCAGCTGTCTCCTCAACTCTACAAGAATGCCAGACGCTGCCTGTGTTTCTTATGGCTCACCTAGGTCTAGGAGATTTAACTGATTACTTAATCTTTTATCTAAAACAAACCATACTAATTTGTACAAATACCTTTAATTCTGTGTGAAATTATTTTTATATTCTTTATTTAAGAAAATGTGATGTTGTATCTCTGTCTTAAATCATCAAAAATATAATGACAGAAAAATTAAAAGAAAGAATAACAGAGGAAACATATGGATAACACTTGAATTAATTCACCATTCCAGTGTCAGGAAGATAGTTTCTGCAAACATTTAAAAAATCTATGTATTCTGACGAGTTGATGTCTTGTGATGGTTTTACAAGAAGAATCAAATATAAATATCATGTTGTAAAAGATTAATATGCATGCATCTGCTTTAAATAGAACAAGGCTAAAGAACATTTTGTTCTTGTTACTGCTTCTCAATAAGTTTGGTAGTTCAGTTTAACTCAGGTAAGCTTTCTAAATGTCTAGCATCTTGTCCAAGCTCATAACAAAGATGTTCAAATGCCTTGGCACCCTCCTATTATTATTCCTTCCTGCTCTCCTCATAACCTTTTATTTTCTCATTTTTCATTTAACCATTCCTGGACCTCACTCTCATCTTGCAATATCTAATAAGCCTTTACTAAGGACTGAACATGTGAGGGCCAGATTTGTGAACTGGACTTTTCTCTCTGTAGATTTTTCAATTAGGTTTTCACAATGCCCTAGTTTCACTGAGTCAGTAAAACTCCCAGATGTTTCCATTCTTTATGTATCTCTCCTTGTATCCCTCATCTCTGTCATAATTTTAGAGACCCTCTTGACATTTAAAAAATTTGGAAACAACAGTTTCTTATTTCTGCCTAAGAAGACTTAAGATATTTCTGTAAAGATTTGGTTGGACACATATAGACATTTATTCCAAATTAAATCAGTGGTCTTCTTCAGATTGAGTTCCAAGCTGTAAACTTCAAAGGATAAGTTCTGCTTTACTAACTGTAATGCCAAACCAATTATTTTATAAAAACAATTAAATTGTCATGAACATAAGATTTCATATCCTGAAAGAATAGGAATAAGTTCTATTTTCACAATTAGTTTTCTATGTATAGTCCTCAACCACAATGCCTGTGAACCACCATCCTGGGAAATAAACTTTTCTTGAGATCTCAAAGCAAATGAAGACAAGTAACCAGCATGGCACAAATGCTTCTCTGCTACTACGTGGATTCTTTTATAGACACTGATTATATATTAAGATATTAATTTTATCCATTTACACTCATCAAAAAAGAAATATATGGTCCACATACTTAAATTCAACTTCTTTCTTAGAGGCAATGGACTAAGTACAATCACAAGCAATAGACAAACATCATAACTTTAATTTTTGGCTGTAAAAATGGAATAAAAACAGTAATTGTATTCATCATCGCTTGATGAAGTCTTTAAAATGTTACTTTTATTCTAGGAAGAATGTAGGCAACCTCTAAAGGGTTGATGTGGCAAGAAAGACACTGATATTTTTTCTGGGAAAAAAATACCTTGGCTCTGAACGAAAAAGAATATTGCTGAAATTATAGTTAGGAGCCTAGTTCTCCTATTGTTAGAGCTCTTTTAGGACATTTTATGATATTTTCTACAAGCACAGGACTGTGGCTATTTAGCTTGGTTTCTATTATGCCTTTCTTGGCATCATGTAGGATAACTAGCACATCTTATAGGACACCAGTGAAAGACAAAATAGACAACACAAAAATCGTATGGCATTCCTCAAACTGTTTTATGTGAAAAAGAAAGGCTGTCTTATACTATTCAAATCCCTAGACGAATATGTCAAAATAAGAGTACGAGAGGAAGGGGTTATTTCAAGGATATCCCACATATAGACAACATGGTGCATTGTGACATCGTTATATAAATATTAATAGTGCCAGAATACTAATCCCTTCATCGGGGAGGAAATATTCTAAATTCACTTACCTCTTGCAGCACTTTCCTACATAGTACTGTAGACACAGCCCATTGGCATCCTAGAGATGGCATTCTGAAGAGAAAGCAGGATCTCAACTCCTCTCAAGGTGTTCCTCCCTCCCTTGAAGGTCAGGATGTCTTGTGCTGGCACATCCTTTGGTGGGTCAGTAGATGGCAGTGTGTCTGAATCTAGTATGTATGGTAGGGGAAAGCTTTTTAGCATTTCCCAAGAAAATGAAGGTTTTGAAAGCTGTGAGGCAGCATGGGGCCTAGTGCATGGGCCAGAAGACTTGATCTTTATTTCTGGCTCAACTCCTGAATACATTTACTTGAGTAAATGGACACCAGCCACTTAACTTTTGTGTTCTTTGCTTTCTTGAACTTGAAATTAGACAAAATACTCTGCCTCTTCCCATCTCCCTCACAAGGACCCTGTGAGTTTAATCAGACTTCAGATTAGTTTCCGTTCTTTGAAGAAAAGACTCCTTATGAATTTGCTATGCTATTTATAATGTCAGTGGCAAAATTGATCTGGGTTGTTCTTCTGGGACTTGAAGTAAATAAACACAGAGGCATTTGGCAAGAAGGATCTTCTGTATTTCTGTGCCATAAAATGTTGGTGTATTTTGGTTTTAAGTAGCAGCACTGGATCTCAGGATGCAAAATTATTCTTGTTACTTGGAATTAAAATAACTTCCTCCATTCCATGGAACTTGACAATTACGGAAGGAAGCCAATAGGCCTCTGGCACCTTCCCAATTTAAATTTAAACTGTTCACTGCAAGTACAGATTCAATCAGATACAATCATTTTCACTTTTCCCTGCTATTAAACATAAGAATTTTCACTTCAGCATTTTACTACAAAGGTGGCACTCTGATAAATGTTAAATGAAATGGTAAGTAGGAAATACCATTGAAGGGTTGAAAGATGATTCTTTTTCCCAACAAGATCCAGCTGTGCATGAATTCACTGGAAGTTAGAATAGTTAGAATCCTCAACCAAAACATACCTTCAGCTGCATGGCACCAAAATGGGTCATGACAAGATCATGTTGGGGCAAAACAAACTTTAACATCTCACCTGTCAACCTGGCTCTGGTCACGATCAAAGCTAAGCTTCTTTGAAGAAGCCTTGCTACTTTGAGGCTGGTAACAAGGATCAAAAAGGGATACAATAAATAATACTATTTCTGGACAGGTAGATTCTGATAGGGAGGTCTAGCGTATTTCTAATACAGATGCCTACCTCATCTGGTCTTCTTGGAAACAAAAAATTATATTGTGTAGGATAGCCAGAAATCTACCTGCTATATAAAAAGATAAAATTGTAAAATGAAATGGATGTCATGTTTGAACACATGCCATACCATCATTTTTAGGTAGCAGCCTTTCAGGATATAGACAAATATATTTGGGATGGTTTCTGGGTGTATAATCCATTGGAAAAGCTATTTTAATATAAAAATTCACTGTCAAAATATTAATAAACAACTAGTCTTTTTTCAAATCTCTTGTGCAATAAACATAGATTCAAGACAAGTGATTTTTGTCGTGTCATCTTATTTGTAAGACATGTCTCTCTAGTTGGATAGTGATTGGCTTGTTGGT
This sequence comes from Homo sapiens, assembly GCF_000001405.40. Taxonomy (NCBI): domain Eukaryota; kingdom Metazoa; phylum Chordata; class Mammalia; order Primates; family Hominidae; genus Homo; species Homo sapiens. The sequence continues at coordinate 104,610,838 of NC_000011.10, forward strand.
TTGAACGTCAGGAGGTTAAAATCTTAATTTAAATATGCATTAGTATTAAAATATGTTCAAGAGAATGTCACATCAACCTCAACCTCAAAGTACCAATTATGTTGTTTGGGTTCCACATTTGACACTGTTCTGACTAAACTGATATCCCCCGTTCAGAATTTCTAAAAATGCCTCAGATCTCAGTTTCATAATACATTCTATGTAAAGTAGAAACATTAAGAAAAACTGAATTATAGAAACATAATTTCATAGTTTCAAGGACATAGAAGTCAAAGCATACTGCTTGAAGCTAATGAACAATTATAAAGATGTAGAAGCCAGCACATTATTAGCATTAGGTTAGAAGAAATAGACAATTCTGTAACCACTCAACAGGATGGATTCAAAACAAAGAAATTGTTAAGTTTGGAGTTTAATTATAAACACTAATTTGTAACTTGGATGAGAACAGTAACTGTTTTTAATCCTTAGCCAGTGTTTTATTTTTTTCCCTGAAGCCGCTTATTGAAGAAAATAAATGACGCAGGAAAAGCAAGGGGAATAACTAATAACCAACATTTTATGCATATATATGTGTAGAACTTAAGTGAGAAAAAAACTGATGGCACCATAGTCAATTTAAATAAGATAAAACGTATCAATCAAGCAGTCAACCATAAATCTCTAAGAAACAAGAAGCCCATGTACAAATTCACGGAAACATGGTAATTGATCTTTGTTGATAACGTTGAAGCACTTTGTGATTCAGAAAAAAAAACAAATTTGGAAGTTATCGTATACATAATATGGTTTTACACATAATATTATGTATATTTTATTACATTTTATATTTTTAGATATTATTCATACCCAATTTGTGGCAATCCTGTGAATCCGATCATTGGTAAGTTAGAATAGTTCTTTCCAGGTAATTATTTTTAATTTACTATTTTCAAATAATTTTAAACTTTGGTAAAGTGGTTTGCAGAGATAGTTGCTCTGACAGGCTGTAAATCGGTTTAGTAGCTACCTAACAGCATGGAATATAAGAATGTGCTCGGCGTGTTAACTGTATACATCAATTTCTTAAAAGCTAAAATATCTATATAAAAATAAGGTGCTTTAGGAAAAGAAGGCCATTGGAAGACCCATGAAAATGGTAATTGACTTTCTGAACCAGAAAAGTAAAGCGATAACATAAAGGAAAGAAACAAGATGACAAAAGGTATCATAAAGTATTACACTTGAGTGCTCTCAGTTACATAGATGGCGGTTCCTGAATCATCCTGATTTTGTGAAACAAGTGGAAAATGGATAAAAAAAAGACTGCCTCTCTGTAGACTGATAAGATCCCAACTGTTAAGAAGTGAAAAGTTTCCCAACTTATGCAAATGAAGAATTGCAACAAGTTGGCCAGAAAGGTGATGGTATCTATCAGTCAGGGATCTTTCTGCTCTAAGTGATTGACAATTCAACTTAAATTGGATTAATAAAACTGAGGTATTATTGGCTATAATGTAAACAAGTAGTTCAGTTTAATTAGAAACTAAAATTCTAATGATTAGAATTTCTCTTTACACTGCCCCTTGCCCTCTGGGCTAGCTCAGCCCTTTGAATAGTGCCTCTCAACGGATGTACAAGAGCAGCAGCAAGCAGCAACCTTTACATTCTTCTACCACCCACTTCAGGGAGGCTGTTGTCTCACAGGCCTAACAATTGTTCTAAGGATCACACCTCTGGGGCTGGACTAAATTACTGGTCAATATCTGTAGCAATCCTGATGGCCAGGAAAATATAATGTGCCTATTGGCTGAAGCCTGCATACATCCATTGATTAGTGAACTCATCCAATAAATAATCAACGTGTTAGAACCTTTCTTTGACCCCAATCACTGTGGCCAAGAGTGTGAGCTGTGCGAATAAACCCTAGGCAGTACCATCAAAATTGCATAACCAATAATGCGAAACTAGTAGTTTCCCAAAAGCAGATGGGATATTATTTAAAGGAAGGAAAATAATAAATGCTGAAAAGAAAGCAACTCCAGGGAAAAATTCCCAGCTGTTTTCTTGATTCTATACATATATAGAGTGGATAAGTTCAAGGAGGCTGAACAAAGAGAGAGAATGCATTTCAATATTCCTAATGCAGGTTCAGCAAAAAGGGATATATGTAAGGAGCTATTAAGTTCATCAATAAAGTGATCTAGTCTTATAAACAAGGTCATATCAAGTTTTTTGAGTCTGTTCACTGTTAGAGCACTCGTTTATGTATTCTGTAGTACTTAAGGTTGAGGTAGTTTTATATTTAAGTTATATGTAAAGAACTTCTACTCATTCTTTAAGAGTTGGCCAAGTATTCTTTCTGTGAATACTTAACTGAAACCCCTTATATCAGTCACAAGTATACTTCATGCATATACTAATTTGTACACTTTTCAGAGTCTGTTGTAATTATGTTTGTGTTTCTGTCTTCCCTACTTAGCTTTGAGCTGTTAGATGACATGGTTTATTCATTTTATCTAGGATATGGCACAACTGGGTATAATGCTCAACTAATATTTGGTTAAAAAATAAATATATAATTTAACATTTTTCTTTCTTTACCCATTCATCAAGTAAAATCTCAACAATTTTATGTAGAAAAAACTCAGATGATTTAATACATGTAAATCTGTGACAATAACAGCTTGTATTGAATACTTATTAGGTATCAATGATATTCTTTGCATATGTTATTCATTACGTTCTTACATTAAACTTGTTTGGTAGATGTTATTCTTTCCTTTACATAGATATAAGCCTACGGCTCAATAAATTAACATATACTGCATGTCAGAAATTGGTGTAACTTGGATTTAGCTTATGCACTGTCTTGTTTAAGTGCCCATACATTTTCTATAGCTCCTAAAATTTTAACTCTTTTGAAACTGTGTAAGGAGGGGGAAAAATGCACAATGAATAAAAGCTTTCACTCTGACACCAGTAAGAAAGGTGAAAAACTCACCTGAATGAAGAATCAGATGTGAAACTGGAAGCTCATCTTATCTATAAAGGGAGCTTAAAATACTCAACTAATATAGAAAGGGCATTTGTAGCTTGTTATTACAGATTTATGTTTCTTCTTTTTGTGTAGCTGTTAAGTACTCATGTTCACATTGTGATGTCACTCAGGAGAGTTGATCTATTACTTCAAGTATAAAAAACAGAATGAGGGTCCATTAAAATTTCCAGGAATATACTAATAAGAAAATTTGTGAAATAATTTTTCTTTCTCAGATACTTTGCAAAATATTGACCCCATATATATATATATATACCTTATATACTATATATAGAGAGTCAGTATTTTGCAAAGTATCCGAGAAAGAAAAAAATATATATTTTATATATATATATATACACACACACATATATATAATATATAGACACACTCATATATTACACACTATGGGTATATAGAGTATGTGTATTATATCTGTATACATATATCTATAATACATAGTGTTTAGTAGAAATGAAACTCCTCAACAGGTTAGAATATGCAACTGGAAACTGAAAACAAAGTGTGAAAACTGAAGCTGCTTAGTTTCTTCCCTAGAAATCATGTTGGAGTTGACTTCTTGGGATTTATTTCAAAAATGACTGTTTGAGAAGAAAACCAAAGGTTTTGTGAGTCTTTTGCATGACTGCATTTGTACAATATCTGCAGTCAGGCCATATCTGAACTAGGTTCAATGACAGCTTTGTGAAGCAGTTATACCAATATCTGGCCCTTTAGGAACTCCCATAAGGTATTCCTTGTGCTTTTAGGGGATCCTCAGAGTGACCTCTCACTCAGAGACATTTGTTCTTGCTCAAAGACTTTTATCTAGATTTGCCTTTCAGTGATTTCTTCTCTCTCAGGGTAAGATAGCCAAGCTCTCATTTGATTTTGGGTCTCAAAATGTCTAATCATATATTAATTAGTACCTGATTCACAACTAATTTTGTAAGATTCAAACTTTTTAATGCCTGAGCATTTCTTTCTGAAAAACATGGTAAAATTTATTTACACTTATTAAGTTGTTGACTTTTTTAATCTTTGTACTCTGATAAAGAAGCTTTCTTGTTTGTTTAACATGATTCTAGTTTAGCACAATGGAAATGGAAGGGAGAGCCAAAGCATTAGGAACTGGCAAGGAGGTTGTTTCTATAGTAAATTTGGAAACTTCTATATCATTGCATTTCTAGTTGTTTTGATAGAAGAAAAAGTAGATATTAGAGGGTTGCAGGAAGCCAGATTAGCCACTCTTCTAAGATAGTGACTCTACTCATGTGGAATGGGTGAATTTACTTATCTGGATATAACGGCTCCACATATTGTGTCCCTAACATGAAGATAAGCCTCCTTGGCTTCTGCCACATCTTCACTGCTGCTCTATTAGTATATTACTCCAAATGTAAAATCTTGTGTCATTGCTCCAGGTTGAAGTGCACTGCAAATTAGTATTGGAGTCAAAGGGGCAGGGAAAAAAGAAATTAAGTGTTGAGAAGGAAGGCAAATACAGGGTGGAAGCGTAGCATAGGCTAAATTTTGAGAAATGTGAAATTGAAATGAGAGAAGTTCCCTTATCCCCCTGGCAGGGCGTGTGACCTGGGTGTGGCTGGCTTCTTCCATGCCCAGATGCTCAAACCCCTAGGGTGAGCATGCAGACGGGCAGGTGCATAGATCATGAGGAGCATTTTGGGGCTCTGGCCCCACAGCAGCTTATAGGGGTGAGTGTTTACAACTCTTAAAGCCCAAGTGGGCATATGTTACAGTGTGCTTTCGGCTTTGCCGTCTGCAGATGGCTTGTGTTAATCAACTTAATTAGACCCTCTGCCTTATCTGAAGAAAGGGGGCCAAGTGTGACAACCTGGGTTCTTGCCCAGTGTACTGGAAGAATCAGAGCACATGTGGGCTGCAAGGATGAGTGCAAGGTTTATTGAGTGGTGCAGGTGGCTCTCAGTGAGATGGATGGGGAGCTGAAGATGAGGATGGAGTGACAAGGTGATCTTCCCCTGAAGTAGGGCTGCCCAGCGACCGAAGTCTTCTCCGACCACCCTTGGCTGAACTCTCCTCAGCGTCCATAAGTCCTTCCTCCTCTTTCTTTTCTTTTCTTTTCTTTTCTTTTCTTTTCTTTTCTTTTCTTTTCTTTTCTTTTCTTTTCTTTCTTTCTTTCTTTCTTTCTTTCTTTCTTTCTTTCTTTCTTTCTTTCTTTCTTTCTTTCTGTGTGTGTTTTAATTACACTTTAAGTTCTGGGATACATTGGCACAATGTGAAGATTTGTTACATAGGTATACATATGCCGTGGTGGTTTGCTGCACCTATCAACCCATCATCTACATTAGATATTTCTCCTAATGCTATCCCTCCTCTAGCCCCCCACCCCCCAACAGGCCCCATTGTGTGATGTTCCCCTCCCTGTGTTCATATGTTATCACTGTTTAACTCCCATTTATGAGTGAGAACATGTGGTGTTTGGTTTTCTGTTCCTGTGTTAGTTTGCTAAGAATGATGGTTTCTAGCTTCATCCATGTCCCTGAAAAGGACATGAACTCATCCATTTTTATGGCTGCATAATATTCCATGGTGTATATGTGCCACATTTTCTTTATCCAGTCTATCATTCATGGGCATTTGGGTTGGTTCCAAGTCTTTGCTATTGTGAATAGTACTGCAATAAACATACATGTGCATGTGTCTTCACAGTAGCATGATTTATAATCCTTAAACTGGCTAGCCATATGCAGAAAACTGAAACTGGACCCCTTCCTCACACCTTATACAAAAATTAACTCAAGATGGATTAAAGACTTTAAAGACTTAAACCTAAGACCTAAAACTATAAAAGCTCTAGAAGAAAACCTAGGCAATACCATTCAAGACATAGGCATGGGCAAAGACTTCATGACTAAAACACCAAAAGCAATGGCAACAAAAGCCAAAATTGACAAATGGGGTCTAATTAAACTAAAGAACTTCTGCACAGCAAAAGAAACTATCATCAGAGTGAACAAGCAACATACAGAATGGTAGAAAATTTTTGCAATCTATCCGTCTGACAAAGGGCTAATATCCAGAATCTATGAGAAACTTAAATTTACAAGATAAAAACAAGCAACCCCATCAAAAAGTGAGTGAAGGATATGAACAGACACTTCTCAAAAGAAGACATTTATGCATCCAACAAACATAGGAAAAAAGCTCATCATCACTGGTCATTAGAGAAATGCAAATCAAAACCACAATGAGATACCATCTCACACCAGATAGAAAGGCAATCATTAAAAAGTCAAGAAACAACAGATGCTGGAGAGGATTTGGAGAAATAGGAACTCTTTTACACTGTTGGTGGGAGTGTAAATTAGTTCAACCATTGTGGAAGACAGTGTGGCAATTCCTCAAGGACCTAGAACCAGAAATAACCATTTGACCTAGCAATCCCATTACTGGGTATATACCTCTCTTCTCTTTCTCTGCCATGCCACCCTGCCACACTCTTCACTGCTCTCCACTGCTCTGTTCCTCTGCTCCTCTCATTGCTCAGCTGCTTGTGTCTGTGCCTGCTTAAAGTCTCTGGTTTAAATGGGCACAGGATCGGGGGTGTAGTAGGCCAAAAGGCAACCTTCTGGGTACGAAAACAGAAATGTCTGTCCTCACTTAGCTCTATGGGCATAGGCTCAAGGGTGGAGTCCTCACCAAAGACCCCACACTTCTCTACCAGCACTTCGCTGCCCGCTTCCCATATCAGAAAAATGTGACCAAAAGACAAATCTTGGCCCTTCTTATTTTCTTCCATCCTCATTATCTTCTAGTTGTGTTCCCTGTCTTAACCCCCAGTTAGACCATCATACACAAGCCAGTCTTGTGAAATCTCCATTCATGCCATAGCTGCCAGCTCACATAATATTTTATGACATTGAAAACTGGCTAAAGGCTGAAAAATATTGAAAAGGGTATTCCTCAGGGAACTGAAAATTTTACAGAGTGGAAGAACAAGGTAAGAACTAGGTTCTTGGCCGGGCGCGGTGGCTCACGCCTGTAATCCCAGCACTTTGGGAGGCCGAGGCGGGCGGATCACGAGGTCAGGAGATCGAGACCATCCCGGCTAAAATGGTGAAACCCCGTCTCTACTAAAAATACAAAAAATTAGCCGGGCGTAGTGGCGGGTGCCTGTAGTCCCAGCTACTTGGGAGGCTGAGGCAGGAGAATGGCGTGAACCCGGGAGGCGGAGCTTGCAGTGAGCCGAGATCCCGCCACTGCACTCCAGCCTGGGCGACAGAGCGAGACTCCGTCTCAAAAAAAAAAAAAAAAAAAAAAAAAAAAAAGAACTAGGTTCTTTGGAGCAGGACGGAACTAACTAAAGAGAGAGCTTCCACTTGAGAAAAGGAGGTAGAACTCAATGAAGGACTAGGCCAGTAGCCCACTGGGGAAGGAAGACCAGAAAAGGAATTCACCTAAATCTTAAGAGTTAGGTTGGCTAAGAGTAAGAGGAGAATGCCACTGGAACTGCAGAGCAAGCATGGGAAACATAATTATTTCTCTTATGAGGGGCTGCAGGCAGGCCTTGAGATAAATAGAATGGCTGACATTATAGAAACTTGATGGGCATGGTTAATTCTGAATATGTTATTGCTACTACTAATTAGAAGTTACAAGGAAAGTATTACTATAATAATATTTGTATGTCTGTATTCCTTGAAAATTATACTGGGGCCATTAAAATAGCGTAGAAAACTCCTATAGGCTACATGTCATATCCATGAGGTGTAGGGAAAAGGCAGAAAGATTCACTCTTCTTTGTTCTGTATGTGCAAAAGAATGACTGGAGGGGGAAGTGGTGTTACACAATATGTTTACACTTCCTCAAGTAATAGATTTTTTTCCTGAAGGAGGAGAAAGTTTCCACTTAGCAGGAGGATATTCCTGAAGCTCACTCTTGGTTTCACCCAATGCGGTCACCCTTGGGGAGGTTGCATACATACTAGTACACAAGGCTTTCATAGGAAGCACATGCCATACAAATACTTTATTCCTGACCTGCTTATTTGTCCCAGAACCTCCCCTTGTACTGGGTCTGGGAGGAGTGACTGAGGTTTCAGGGCACATTTCAGATCTCAATATCCCCAGGTCCTAGAGTAAGAGAACAAGTGAGAGCAACACAGGGAGAATGAGTATTTGATAAAGAAATACAGATTTATTCCAACATCTGGTGCAGCAGAAAGACACTGTGAAAGATAGGGTTGGGAACGGCCTTTGTTGAGAATGGATCAAATACAGAAAATAGAATAAACGCTGGCTCTCAAAGTGAGCTTCCCCATCCGCACCGGATGTTTGTGAATATCTCAAAGACACCATTCATTTCCTCTTGGCAGCAGCCTATGAAAAAGAGGGAAAAAAGGGTTTACAAAGGCTTTTTTCTACTGCAATCATAAAAAGTTATTTTCAAAATAAATCATAAAGAAGCATGTTTGTTAAATATCTCTCCTATTATTTTCAGAGACCCACAATTCAGAGAAATGTTACAACTTTATAGTTATGAGAGACATATTAGATGAATTTTAAAACATAAAAGGCTTAATATTGTCAGCTCCAAAAACTACCAGGTTGACCTAGTATTATTAAGTTAGTTTATATATCTAAAAAAATTATTACTATTAATCATATAGAACCAATATGATATATCTTATTTAACTATTGATTTACAGCTCTGATGTCTACCTAGGGCAGTCTCCTTTTGCCAAGAAGTGACTTCAGTTATCGTAGTCTTTTACTAGTCTTTATAACATCTTTTATTTCACCTGTCAGAGTGAAAATGCATGGATCTAAAGGGATATCGAGGTTTAAGACTAGATTAATTTTCTGAATAATATTATCCCAAAGTGATTTTATGCCTAGAAAAAAAGGTAATGCTAAAATTATCAAACATTTAAAAAATGCAGCATGGCATTATTGGTGAGCTTCCTGATTGCTTAATGTTAGTTAAATAAGTCAACATTTAACCAGCCAGATTTTTCTCATACAACCCTATATTATTTGGAGCGACTGGAGCAAACTTCAGGAAGTTCCTATAACCAGTATTAGCTCAGAAGGAGGAAATTCGATGTCAGTGTTTTTCATGCATAAATGAACATAATAGTTGTAAAATCCACGTTGCCCCATTGCAATGTATCTTACAAACTGCTGCCAGATAAATCTCTCAGAAACACAGCTCTGATGTTGTCACTCATCCCACCAAGAGCATTTAATGGCAGATTCCCAGCTAAAAGAAAACCTGTCTCTGGGAGACCTTGAAGCAGCCTTCTTTCAACCTTGCACTAAAATATCTAAAATGGCTCAGAAAAATAGAATAGTTGCAATATAAAGGATCAAGACTAAAGGTCAAAAGATTGTCGTATTTTAAAAGAAATTTGTAGTTATTCTAAAGATAATGCACTTGGGGTGGAAAAAAACATTGGTGGCCTGCCATGCTTTACTCTAAGAAATGTATCAGCAAATGTTGGCCATCTGAAAGAAGGTAGGAAGACAGTCCATTCCTCTCTGTCTGCCCAGTGAACTCAGAGACCTGGGAAAGGGTTTAGCTTTCTGCTAGGTTGTCAGAAACCTGGTGAGCACATTGTGTAGTACTATGCAGCCACATGTAAGTTGGCATAAAGCTCTGTCCTTCACCTCAGTCTTTCTACTTTCCAATCCTTGTTGAGACTTGCTGTACAGGAGACAGCATACATACTGGGAAACAAACGGGTCATGTGCCCTGACTCCTACTCACTAACTCCATGACCTTGGGTGTCTTTGTGCCTCAGTCCCTACATCTAAAATGGGAATAATAAGAGTGAAAGCACTACTTCATGAAGATCTGGAGAATTAAGTGAGCTGATTTTATTACTAAGGCAATTTTTAGCTCAACACAAAATATAGCCAGAGAGGATTTTCTTAATGCTTTGAAGAAAGATTTTTTTAAAGGCCATACTTAATCTTAGAGTAAATCTCTTTACTCCTCCCTATTCCAAGGGTCAGAACAGTCTAAATAACCCCAATTCTGCTATCTCAGAGGAGAGGGACAAGCCAGTTTCACACAACTGTGGCAGGGATTTGGGCAGAGGACATACTGAAGGAGAGTTAATATTGGTAAGTACTGTTATCACAGACATCTGCGTGGCCAGAAGAAAATCCAAACAAATAGCTAGAATGATAGAAATATAGCTCATGAAGAGAGCACTTTAAAGTCTGAACCTGAAAAACTGCAGAGAGACCAAAACTGCTTTGTTTTTGTATTCACTCCAATACAGGAAGTCACCAGGTCTCAGAGGGATGGGAATCACATGGGAATCAGTGTGAGGTGCAGAACCAGGAAACAGTGAGCACAGTGATACCAGGAAAGGCAGGACCAGAATATTTTAATATATTATAAAGTGATAGTAGGTCACTGAGATAAAATATAACCTTTAGAAGAATGTGTTTTATGTGGGTTATAAATGGAGTCACAAAAGAATTTTTGCCTTTCCAAATTATTTACCTTGCCTGGAGGCAAACATTCATTTGGAAAAAGGAATTAGTTCCCACAATAGTAGTCAAAAAAATTGTTTATACCATGAATAATTTCTCTGTTTTATGTTTATCTCACTCTTTCTCTAGATCTCTAATTTTAGATTCAAAATGATTAATTTTTAAAATACTTTGAATAAGATCATTCTAGATTGACAAAACTAGTATAGTTCATACTTCTTTAAAATTTTAAATATTTGGTCATTAATTATGATTACTTGTAAGATTTATATAACAAGAGAAAAAGTTAATTTGTAAAATTGAAAATTTTACTGGAGACATTAAGCTAAATATTTGAATTAGAATCAAACTGCTCATACAATTATTCTCAAAAATGCCACAATGGTTCTAGATGTGATTACCAATCTGTACCTTCATTCTCTTAATTCTCCTGTTTTCTCTTCGACTCTTCCTTTCCAAGTCTCCACCAGGTCTCCTATTCCTCCTCCACCCCTTTATACCTCCTTATGAGTCGCCATTCCACCTTTCACACACCCACTGATCATCTTATTTGTTCTCTTTGAAAAATCTCTCTATTCACACGTGTTTAACTGTTGTCTACATGCACAGTGTCTTGGTCAGTTTGGGCTGCTAAAACAAAGTACCTTGGTTTGAGTGGCTTAGACACAACAGAAATTTATTTCTCCTAATTCTAGAGACTGGAAGTCTGAAATCCGGGTGCCAGCATGGTTAAGTTCTGATGAGGACTCTCTTCTGGATTGTAGACCGCCAACTTCTACTTTTATCCTCACATGGTAGAAAAAGAGTAAAAGAGTTCTTAGGGTCTCTTTTGTAAGGGCCCTAATTTCATTCATGAGTGCTCCACCCTCATTACCTAATTATTTCCCAATACCTCGCCTTCTGATATAATTATATTTGGGAATTAGAATTTCAACAAATGAATTTTGGGTGGACACAAACGTTTGGTTTATAATACTTAGATTATCACATTTTACCCTGATCTTTCCCTAACCTTACAACTCCTATATCCATTGAACATATCTACCTGGAGATCCATGATGACTCAAAGGCAACATTTCTAATAGTGAACAATACACCATTTTTTTAGCCAGTTTTTTTTTTTTATCCTTCCCTATTTCTGAACACAGTTCATGAAACCATTGTGTAGCTTCTGAGAAGTAAAGCTAACTTTCCTACGTTTAGTCCCTATTATTTGCTAGCCTATTTGTCTTGGTTTTGACTCCCTTTTCATAATTCTGCATATGCTTATCTCACAACTACGGCTCTTCTCTTTCAATTTGAATGGCATTGGATTAACACACAAATCTTTCCTTGACTGTGAGATCTGTTCAGTTTCTCAAAACAACTAGTTTTCAAAATTTTGTTTTCTAATACCCTGCTTCAAGGAGATTAACTAAGAGATAAATTATTTAAAACATACTCTCCAAGTTTCTTCAATTCCCGTGGTCCCCATGGACTTCAGCTATAGCTTTTATGCAGCTCTTCAATTAAGAATCAAGCCTGTACAATAAACAAATGCTGTTTAAGAAAATTATATAAATATACTGATTTGATTCACTTGAGTATAAGTTCCCAACTCAGATAAATCTTTAAAGTGCATAGTATTAATTTTTCATGTCATTCATTTTCCATTTCCCAATAGTTATACAAACAATGATTTCGGAGGTCAAACCAGCTATCTTCTCCCCAGTGTAACTTTATCTTTATTTCCCACAGACACGAGAACTATCAAATACCAATTCTTTTGATTTCTCTTCCTTCCTTCTCCATACCTATATCTTTACTCATTCTCATGTAAATAGATATTGTGTCCTGAGTGAGATTTTTCTGTTGTTTTACAATTGATGCTAAGACCCAAAGCTAAGAATAGAAATTCCTAAGTACCTCATATTTTAAATTCAGAGATCCAACTATTGGACTAGCCATCTTCCATAGGGATAATTGAAAAGTACCATCATAGAATGTATACTCCACCATTGCTTCACCAAATCTACCTGATAAAATAAGAGAACCCATATGGGAGAAAATGGCAGTGCTCCTTAAAAGAAGCTACTCTTCCCTATGGGAGGCAGAGTCTGCTTCCCCTTATCAAATCAAAAGAGAAAGGACTACTCTTGAGTATGATAAATATAATTTACATATCCCTTAGGAAAAATCTGAGTAACCAGTAGGTACTCAGAAATTCATGGCTAAATTATGCAAATAACATCTGTCTTATTTTTCCAGAATCAGTGTTGCTCTGTGCACTCTTTCTTGAAGGTTGGGAAATTGCCCTTGAAGAATTAGTAGATATAGACCAACAAAGCTATGAGATATTTCAAAAATGTAACTGTCACAAGATAATGAATAATGCTATTGGTATTCATCTGGCAGACCCATTGACTCATTATTTGAGCTGAAGGTAAACAGTTCATGTTCTTTACTACATTATCATCAGTGCCAGAGAGACAAAATGAGATGTAGTGGGATAGGTATACACAGAGCCCATCCAGCCTCAGTCTAAAAGAAGTTTACTGATAAAGCGTTCCCTCATTCAAATGTACAATTATCTGCCTAATTGAAAACTGAATTTAAATATTTTCCTGGGGGAAAAATGCCAGTTTGATGCTCTGTTTTTTTTTTTCTTTTAAAGTCTTTGCCGATGTAAAATGAGAAAATTTTATTGCAGGGTGCAATGATTTAGCATGCATTAAAATTAAGTATCTAAAATATCTACAGGGCCTGAAAAGGTATATGGAAATGAGCTGTTTTCCAAGTTAATGCCACAGGAAATGACAGCTAAGCTGATCTCTTTTTCCCACAGCCTTTTAATGATGCATTTCTCTTAGCATTTGAAAGGACTTTAGATCTAGCAGGTTTCAACTCTAGGGTATAGCTGATTCAAAGTGAAATTAGTGTTGGGTTCTAATATGTTAATTCAGAAATAACTGGTAGATTCATTTATAGGAGCTCAATTTCCATGAGTGATATGTAGGCATATAGGCAAACTTATGAAATGAGCAATGTTTATCTCTAGTTGCTCCAGCCTTTCCATTTTCTAACCTGCCTTGATAATTTCTACAACTTTCATATCTTTTTTTTCTAAAGATGTTCTCTGATCCTTCATTTGACTAATCTGTACATGCAAAATATAAGTTCCTTTTTCCTTATAAACCCCTTTTTGTTACACATCAATAGACCACAAGAACAAAGGACAGTAATATAGTTATCAGGATATTGATTTGGAGTGAAAATTATGAGAAAAAATTTATGGGAATGTTGTATATGTAAGGATTGCAAATATATATTATATTATCACATATAATTTTAAAAAGGTACAAATTTATATATTAAATTAGCTTTGAAGATATTCTACACTATATTTTGTCTATGAGAAAATTGATGACAGATGAGTTAAAGAAACTAAACATGACACAAAGTTAAATTTAATCACAATGGTGGCTTTATAATTTTTTGAAAATGTTCAACATAGAGGAAGGTAAGAATTAAAGGTCTCAGTTTGTTGAAGTCAATATGTAGATGTAATCGGCAATATGAAGCCACTGTGAAAGTCCTATCACATTCCTTGTGTTTTGTGGAACACTGGATGTTGAATTGTAGGACTAGATTTTTCATTCTCAATGTCATCAGAATTATGAACATAATATGTAAAACATCATTTATTAGCAACAGTTTTAAAAGCTATAGCTTCGTATTGGTAAAAATGAATTAAAAGAAAAATATTGAGATTTTGAATTTATTAATATTAGGAGTAATTCTATTCAGAATAAAAAAACAACTATCTAAGCTGAAATAAACTTTAATATAATTAAAAGTAACATATTATTCATAGGTGATGTCGTTTGTTACAACAATTCTACATACTTTTAAGGACTGTTTCAGAAATTTGTTCTGCTGAAACTGACTCATATGAACTCCTTTCTTCTCATTAACTACCCTGAACTTTTTCTATTTCCAGTGCACATTGTCTTTCTGCCAACTCTAAACCTCTAGGCATAATCCAGATCTCACAAAGAGAGGTGAAGATACAATAATCGTGGGGACTATGTGATTAAAGAGTTTTTGGCATTGGACCCATATCCAGATGATTCAGTTAGTTGCATTGGGCTTATGTCCAGACAAGAAGGTTACTGAGGCCAGACACATCTCCTTTTAATGACTCTGGGAGCTCTGTAGTTAGTACTGGTAACTACGTCCTTACAGATGTAGCACAGCTCCATGGAAGTAGGTAACAGACTAACTTTTGTATTAGTCCCAGCTCAATCCATTAATAGTTTTGTCTTTAGCAAGCAATTTCAGCAACATTTACATCTATTTAAAGCAATTTTAAAAATAGTTAAATGAATAAAGAATATAAAAACTTGTAGGGCTTCAGAAAATACACTTCCAATAAATGATAAATATTATTAGCTATTTTTTCATGATAACTTGTCTAATTGTGCAAGTCAGTATTAATGAAATTAATAAAGTTAATGTCAGGTTGATTAATACATGACGAAAACAATTTCAATTTACTGTCACACATTTTAGTATAAAATATAATAATCATATGTAAAATATAGAAAATTATATAACAAACAGTAGTATACTCACCACTCAGCTTTAAAAAAATTTAATATTTGTCCATATTAACTTTAGAGCTTATATTGTTTAAAACTTGAATCAATATAGATACTGGCAGTCATTAGTGAACAATTTCCACTCCATTTTTTTCCCTCTCAACTTAAAGGGAATCTTCTAAGTACATGTAAAATATTTATCTTAAGTTTTCATGCTTTTAAAATATATTAGAATCAATAAGCTTTAGAAAGTTTATATTTTTAGATTTTTACATTTAGGTATAGACTATTCATTGTATGGCGGATTAAAGCTTTCCTTACATATATATATTAGGCTTTAAAACTCTGCTTTCTTATTAATGAGCATTGAGGTAGTTTCAACTATCTTGCTATTATAAACATAAATCTTTGTGCCTCTTCATTTTTAAAGTGGAGATATTAATAGAAACTCCCTTATAGGGATTGTTGTAGAGAATAATATGGCCAATAAATATAACAATTGTTCTTAGGCAAAATAAATACTATGTGTGTCTACTATTAATATAAATAATATTGCAAGGATTCTTTTTGTATTCGCCTCTCTGACTCTATGTAGAATAGGAATGATATCCAAAAGTGGAAATGTGTGGTTTTCAGGTGTATACCTCTTCCCTTTTACTGTAGTTTTCCATTCTGCTTTCCAAAGTAATAGTACCATTTTATGTTCTCAGGGCTTGCAGTAGGTTGTTTCTGGACATGGATTCTGGAGTCAGATTCCCTGGCAACCAGCTGTATGACCTTGGCAAAATATTCCTCGGCTACCTAGTTTTCTAATTCATCAAATAAACACAACAATATTATCCATTTTCCTGGGTTGCAGTAGAGACTAAATATTTATATACAGTAGTTAGAAGAGTGTCTGCAACACATTAAGTATACAATAAACATTAGCTATCGAAACCATCACCAGCAGCATAGAAAAGTTCTCTTTACTAGTAGCTCAAATTGCCTGATTTGACTTTTTTTGTTTGTTTTCTGCTTTTTGCCAAAATAAATGAGTGTGAAGCAGTTTTTCATGTGTGCTTTAATGTGCTTTGCCCTAATTCCTAGAGATCGTCTTTTTTGAAGGAGCCCAACTCCACTCTATCTGCTCTGTTTCCCTCTTCACATGTAATGATTTTAATCCTTGACTTGGTCCTGAAACCAATCCCAGGCCAATTCCTCCTGGAGGCCATAAACTTTACCCTGGTTCTCCTCTCAGTTCTACTCCCTACAGATAATTTTTTTCTTTTTGAATGAGGCTATGTGCTTTTAACTTTTTTCTTATTGTACTTCATAAGACACATTTTCACAGTAATTTCATTTCATAGTCATTTTGTGTTGGGACCAGAGACATTGCCTCCAATCATGAATTTACAGGTCTTAACTAGAATGTAAAATGTATTTTTTTTCCCTGATAAAATTATTTATGTTCACTACAGGCAACATATAAACAGATTAATTGAAGTTGAAATAACACCCCATTCTACCACCAAAAATTCTTTAGATCATGAATAGAGCTGCATTAACCTGCATCTATAAGTTGTTTTGGGAAATAGTTGTAACTATGCAATGTTATTGAATTTCCTAAAATTGTTTTCTTTAAAGAGAATGCTATTCTCCGAGGTATTAATAGATGTTCCTGGAATAAAAGATTCCACAGTCAAATAAGTTTGGAGTACATGGGGTTAAAAAGTTAAATATATACTTTTGCTGCAAGCCTACTTGAGAGAGAGATAAATTGTATATGATTTTTAAAACATATTTGGCCATTAACTACTCCTAGCTCATGTATGCACTTTCCTTTCATATTTCTTCAGGGCTTAGTGGTGAAATTTACAAGTAATATTCGTAGCTCAGAGAAACCAGATCCCGACTTTTACTCTATTTAAGATTGTTTGCCAATAAAGTTTAATTTTATTGTGTATTAAAAAATGTTATTCTCAAATTGCTTGTGTTATTTTCCTAAGCTGGATATTGTAATTGTATCTACTTATTAATAATAGTTTTTGGCTTTAAGGGATCCATTTAAATTTTTACTCATAATGAAATATGAACAATATTGGTTTTATGGATAAATAATCTTCCTCATTGAATGTACTTCCATGGAATGCTTACTAATTTCCAGATTCCTTCTAAAAATGAAGTATCTAAAATAGAATAAAATAGGCAAAGGCCTACCTTACAATGATCGTATTTATTTTATTTTATTTTTTTCAGTAAAGCATTGTTTTATTTATTTATTTTTGTATTCTACTTTAAGTTATAGGGTACATGTGTACAACGTGCAGGTTTGTTAACATACGTATACATGTACCATGTTGGTGTGCTGCACCCATTAACTCGTCATTTACATTAGGTATATCTCCTAATGCTATCCCTCCCCCCTCCCCCGACACTATGACAGGCCCTGGTGTGTGATGTTCCCCACCCTGTGTCCAAGCGTTCTCATTGTTCAGTTCCCACCTATGAGTGAGAACATGCGGTGTTTGGTTTTCTGTCCTTGCTATAGTTTGCTCAGAATGATGGTTTCCAGCTTCATCCATGTGCCTGCAAGGGACATGAACTCATCCTTTTTTATGGCTGCATAGTATTCCATGGTATATATGTGCCACATTTTCTTAATCCAGTCCATCACTGTTAGACATTTGGGTTGGTTCCAAGTCTTTGCTATTGTGAATAGTGCCGCAGTAAACATACGTGTGCATGTGTCTTTATAGCAGCATGACTTATAATCCTTTGGGTATATACCCAGTAATGGGATGGCTGGGTCAAATGTTATTTCTAGTTCTAGATCCTTGAGGAATCACCACACTGTCTTCCACAATGGTTGAACTAGTTTACAGTCCCACCAACAGAATCACTGTGAAGTATTTAATCAAAGAATATAATGACTGAATTTGCTAAAATATATTTCCCTTCAGTAAACTTTTTGAGTATACAACTTCAGTATACGCAGATTGCCTTATGTATAAAGATATATGCATTATTTAGTTTATTATAAAACTTAACTTCTTGAAAACTTGAAACTATACAATATTGTGAACCATTTTGACACATGATCCAATACCTACAGTGTTTTTTCTAACTATGAATGCTGGAGGCCATTTTTTCATGCTGCTCAGAATAAAAATTATATTACACTTACAGCAGCTCCAAATTCACTTTTGTCCACCAGATTGTTCAGCATTATTATTTATTGAGTACCGGGGTGGGGAATGGCTTATATTGGATAGAAACTTTCCATTTGAAGATTTCAGATATAGTCCACCTGCATGGAACATTAAAAGCAACTTATCTCCATCCTTTAGCAAAAATAAATAAATAAATAAATACATTTTATTCTGGTACATTTCATGTGGGGAATCTTAGCTACAAAGAGTTCGCCTGGCAATATTATAATCGTAGGCCTCTGCATATCCTTCATTTTGTTTATGGATGAGAAAATAACCTAATATGATATTCTTCCAGGGCTAAGGAACATGACTTGTACTAATCTTCTATTAAACTACTTTGCCATTTCATATAATGGAATGGAAAAATAAAAGTATTAACAAAACAATGTTAAAATTTTAGTTATTTTATAGTTGAGACACATATAACAGTAGTAAACATGTGAATTCGGGGAATCCTAAACCAAAATCAATTGATGGGGAAAGTCTTTCAGTAATCACCTCCCATTTGGAAATGTGCAACAGGCAAGGCTGCCAATTTTATACAAAATATAATAAAGTGTCATGGAATCAGACAGGAATCATTTCCATTTATGGGAAAATGTGGAGGATATTTCCCTTAGCAATTGATCACCCTGAGGCAAAACAAGCAGTGAACCAACATTCAATTGTCCATGGAAGTGAGGTAGAATTAGGAAGGCTTCAATATACAGCACAAGGCAGCTTGGCTCCAATTACCACTGCAATGTCTACGCTATTTCTACCCATTTGGAATAGTATATTAAAGTGTTTCCACTTCTTTAAGTGAATGAAGTGTCAGTTTCTGCAAAGCCTATAATGAAGCTATTGCAGATTTTTCTTTGCATTCATCCATCTCCCCACCCAGAAATGCAGTTACTAATGATGACATTTACATTTTCTTCAGAGGCAGCAAAACCATGACCTCAAAGAATTGTTACTTTATAACCATTTTTCAGTCCTGATGCATATTTAAAGCCAGACTTAGAAGCAAGGGCCACCAAGGGTGCTTTCCTTGAAATGTATTTGTGATCTCAAAAATTTTTATGTAGACAGTTCCTGAGTTGACATTACATCTTATATACGGAGGTGAACATGGTTGAACAATTTGGTTTCTTGGA
The DNA here is from genome assembly GCF_000001405.40 of Homo sapiens. NCBI lineage: Eukaryota > Metazoa > Chordata > Mammalia > Primates > Hominidae > Homo > Homo sapiens. Next base: position 104,630,255 of record NC_000011.10, read on the forward strand.
AACTCTAAAAATAAATTAGGATTCAGCAGCAGCAAGTCAGGTTTCAGCTGCTCTAAGCATTTTGCTATTATTATAATCGACCACGGGTGATCAAGTGGATGGGCAAGTAGAGCAATATTATAAAACAACACACATAATGAGGAGCTTACAGTAGTTAAATGTTTGCTTTAGACACTAAACTTGAAATTTTTAAGTAGTTCAATTTGACGTAGAAAAAAGTTAGACCTAATAAATGAGTGCAATAAAATAAGAATCTAGCTGCATAAAGGAGACAGGTTAAATCAGGACAAAGGACAGTGTTTTATATTTCAATACGAATGCAATGTTGTATGCAATCTCTCCTTGCTAGAAATCAAGGTGACAATATGTTTTGCAACTATTTTAAATGGAATGCATTTTCTTTATTGAGATACATCATACTCTTTCACATAAATATTTAATTAGAGTAAAATTAAGCTATTGGAACATTTCCTTTATTTACACTGAGTTTAGTGAGCCTTTCAGTCTTCATTGAATATGGCAATTTCCGGGGGTTTACTACTACTTGCCAAAAAGCTCATTCATTTTCAGTTCTCTATGAGTAAATGAAAGAACTAAAGATTTTTCCTCCATAAGCCATCAGAAAAAAATGAAGCATGAGTGAAAAATCAGGTTGAAAAGATGAAGAAGTGACAACTTTAGTTTATCTGTTGCTGTCATTTAAATTTTCTTCCTTCATTATCTTATAAAAAGGTCTTTTAGAAGAGGATCCTTGAAAAATCTCACGCATCCTGTTCTTTTTTTCTTCAATGACCTTTTATTTGCCCTTATTAAAATAACATTCATTTATTAAGTGTTTCTTCAGAAAAAGCATAATACTGTTTTAGAGGCTGCATGTTTGTGGCTCTTTTCTTATTTCTCTTCCGACTCCATTTTAATAGTTACCACACTGGAGAAGAATGAAATTCAGCTCTGCTTTTTCTCTTTCTCCAGTTCCTTTTCATAAGTGAACCACATAACTCTATCATGATCATCTTTTCAGCACTTTGATCCTGAGTCTGTTTCATTTATTATGGCTCCCTGTGGACATCTGATTAGGTCAACTCTGACTGCATTCATTTCTCTGAATTGGTTTGATTGTTTCAAATTCTTGAATCTTCAAAGTAGACCAGGTATGGAACAATAAAATCAGTACCTGCTCCCTTACTTGAATTTGAATGAAATTTCTTTTCATTTAGTCAGAAAAATGATATTCTGACAATCCAATCAGAAATTTCTACTCATTTAGAAAATGCCCTAGAAAAGAATATGTGTGTGTGTGTGTGTGTGTGTATATACGCACACACACCCCCCCACACACAAACTCTACTACTCCTTTACACAGCTCAATGACTGTGGGTTACCTCCCCCTTCTCCCCACCACCTTACCCCATGACCCAACAATTTAAAATGCCATAAAGATCTGGCTTTTATCTGAAAATCTCTCCAGCCCTCTTATATGTGGCCTCATATCCTATCTTCCTCATTCTTTCTGTACATCTGATTTTATATAGCCTTTTGACTTAGCAGTTAAGCTAATAACAAAAGTGGTAATACCAAGAGGGCCTTATGTCACAAAGTTTTGTCCAGCTGTAATTAAATGCCCTGTGTTTTCTGAATCATTGACTTCTATATGTGTCTAAACCTCTTCAAAAAAGGCTTCTCAAAAATCTAAATGCCTCTACTGCTAAATTTTATGTGTGTAACTTGACTGAGTTAAGGGACACCCATATAGCTGCTAAAACATTATTTCTGAGTGTGTCTGTGCGGATGTTTCCGAAAGAGACTAGCATTTACAGAATCAGAAACTAGCATTTACAGAATCAGTAGACTCTAAAGAAATATGCCTTCACTAATGTAGGGGAGGGGGATAATATAATCTACTGAATAACCAGATAGAAGAAAAAGGTGGAGTAAGGGTGAATTCACTTTCTCTTCTGGAGTTGGGACATCCATCTTTTCCTGCTGTTAGACATCAGGGTTCCAGGTTCTTGCGCCTTAGAACTCTGAGACTTCCACCATTGGCTCCTCTGGTTCTCAGGCCTTTGATTCAGACTGAATTATGCCACTGGCTTTCAGGTTATTCAGCTTGCAGATGGCATGTCATGGGACTTCCCAGTCTCCATAATCTAATGGCCAATTTCCATAATAAATCCCCTCTTGTTAAACTCTCTCTATATATCCTGTTGGTTCTGTTCCTCTGGAAAATTCTGACTAATACAATAAATGATAGTCTTTATTTTCAGAAGTTGTTTTAAAATTTTTGAGCAAAAATTTTGATTTATGTTAATATTCAGTTCTTAGACATTTAGCATGCACATCTTAATAATGGTGTTAATGTGTCTGAAATGAGTGACTTGACTATTAAGAGTATTCTGATTTGTCCCATTATATTTGCTGTATCATCCTCAGTATACTGTAAGCTCTTTGAGGAAAGGGACAGTGCTTTCTATAGTACTTTGTCAATTTAAAGTACCTTGCAACATTATAACAAATAACGAAATAAGGGAAAAAATTACATACTGGTATTGATTCTTTGGTTTATTATGCTCTGTATATGTGGGTAGGGAAATAGTAAAAAACATTGTAAACTTTATAATAACTGCTATGTAAAGAATATTTATAATAATACCCCTTTATGAAGATTTTGAAATTTCTGATTAACAAATACAATTGATTTCACTCATGGAAAAATTAAAGTTGACATCCACGTTTAATCAAAGTCTACTGATCAATCACTTAGTATATGCCAGGCACTGGGATAGCCACAGTACTTTGTGGGAGGCTAGAATATAATAAACATCTCCTCACTTATGCATGTACTCATTGTTCTTATCTATTAATCAGATATCAGCCTAAGTTTGGTCTTGTATTATTAGACTTATGTTTTGCTACATATCAAAGATGAGAGGATTAGAGCCTGCATTTTGTTGCCTCTTTGTGCCAGGAAACTGCAATGCCATTTCCTTCATTGGCTCTTTCATCCCACAGGCAGTGCCTGACATGTAATACTAACTTCTCTTTAGTATGCTTTTTCTAATGAAGGATAATGAGATTCTGTAATGCAGCAAGGATAATTTATGAATCGGCATCAAATAAGGCTTTGAAAGCAAACTAAAGACAAATCTCACTAAGTTAGCTATTCATAGCCTGCCCCTGGAATTAAATCAAAAGCACTGAACAGCATCTAAAGATTGTGAGCCAACTGTCTTTTACTGCTGACAAGATGCTTGGCACTAGTCTGCAAATCAAAAATTATTTTATCATGTATAATTTTTGAGGGTGTTGCAAGATTGTGCAAAAGAGTCAAAAAGGAACACCCATGGGCCCTTTTAGGGGAGTATTTTTTGACAGCAATAGTTCCTTTTTTTCAGATATAAATAATTAAAATACACACTAAGTCACAGACATTAAAGTAATCTCGAATTTTGCATGAAGATCCATGAAAGTTAATAATTCTCTTATTCTAACATCTAGTGTATATTTTCATCTTTCCCTACCCCAAACCCATTGTTTATTCATATTTTGTTTTCCTAGTTTTCTCTCTTATACCCCTCAGCTCAAACTTTACATATTTAGTAATCACTAAGCAAAGTTAATTCTACTTCCTAAATATGTTACTCAGTTGTCCTCTTTCCTCTGTTTATCATGTCACTGCTTGACTTATTCCCTCTTCCCTCTTATCTAGACCAAGGGAGGAGGCCATATGTAGAGAAGAGGGTACAGAACAATGTCCATATGGCTGGGATAAAAGGTATGGTAGAGGATCGGTGCAAGTTAAAGATGGAAATGGAGTTCTATGGATGGAGAAGGGCCTTGCATGGTAGGACATCAACATTTAGCCTGAAATTTATGGAGAACAACTAAAAAAGTAAATGCAATGATCACAAATCAAAACTACTCTGGTGGTAATGAGTCGTTAGAGAAGGCATGGTACTCAGAATCATGAGTCCCCAAGATGTCAATGTCCTAATCTCTGGAACCTTTTACATGGCAAACGGTTAAAGAGCTTGAGACATGGAGAAATCCTGGATTATCCAGGAAGACCTAATATAATTACAAAGACCCAGTATAGTTATAAGGGCCCTTAGAAGGAAAAGAATGAGAAAGGAGGCAGAGCACAAAATGTGATGACAGAAACACATACACACACACAGAGGGGGAGGGAAAGAAAGTGAGGGAGGAGGAATATTTGAAGGTGTTATCCTACTGGCTTTGAAGGTGGAGGAAGAGGTCATGAGGCAAGGAATGCAGGTGGCCTCTAGAAGCTGTTAAATAAAAGGAAATAAACCTTCTCTTAGAGGCTCCAGAAGGAATGCAGCCCTGTTGACATCTTGATTTAGCCCAGTGAGACCCATTTTGGACTTTGACCTCCAAAATTATAAGTCAATACATTGGTATTGTTTTAAGCTCCCAAATCTGTGGTAACATGTTAGGGCAGCCATACAGAAGGCAAAAAAGGAATGGGTAAGTGGAGAAGGTAGGTTTTGAGGGTTAGCATAACAGCACATTCCTAATAATTGCAGCTGCTCAGCAAAACACAGGTTTAGAAGGGAAAGAGAAAATTAAGTATTATTTTTGAATCAGAGTGCCTTAGAAAATAAACAAAATATCTGACATATTTGAAATAATTATGCAGTTAGGCAATGACACAGATTCTATGCATAAGACCCTGTCCTTTGTAAGACATTTTTCTTATTTTGTAGGAGAAATATAAACATGGTGAAAAGGCAATTTAATGCTATTAATATAAGACTTAATGCAGTTGAAATTTAATAATGAATTGTATCTTTTTTAGAACATGAAAGGTTGCTTCTTCTTAAATCAAATATCACTAATGTTTGCACAATCTTGGATAATAATATAACTGAAAATACTTTTGCTTTCATTCTAGTCCCCAAATATATGCTAAGAGTAACAAAATGTAGTGAGCATATAAATTGTGTGGTCCACTTCATTACTTCATGTCTTAGTGGCTATTATAAACCAGAAACTAAATGGAGTAGACCTACAGACGTATATATGTTGGAGAAATGATAGATTTTTTTTTTTGGTTGTATCTAACACTGAAGTAAAAATATTTCATAATATATTAGGCACCTAAAAGCATTTTGTAAGGCAAACCATTTTGCATCTGAAGAAACTTAGACCCATAAAGACTAAACAACCCACCTTGATGACATACTGATAAGGAATGAATCCAGGACACAGGGCCTTATGTGTGGACATCAAGGCCTGGTCCCTATTCTCAACCACTGCACTGTCAAATTCATTGTCATACCTTATGTACTGTTAGGGTATTTATATTTTGCGTTGGTGAACAGCTACACAACTGAGTATTATAAGTTGACTCACTATCTTAATGGCTGCCTAGTATTTAATGCAGCATTATTATTGTTGAACATTTGGCTTGATTACAATTTTTTTCCTAATAAACAGTGCTGCAGTGATCATCCCTCTAAGGGAGTCTTTATATATCTTATTTACCTTTAATGCCCAGAAGTGGAATTACTTTTTATTAGGCAGTACTAAATTGACCTCCAGAAAAGACTTATTTATCATGTCTGTGTTTTAAATTTTCCTTCTGTAATGATTCTACTATACAGGATGGCTTTATAATTACTCGTAATAATAGTTCACAGGAATGCAGTCACCCATCCATCTTTCCTCTGATCACATGGATGCATTTCTGACATGGCCAAACATTGGTGGATATATTTTGTGAACACTGAATTTGAAATGAAATAGTGGCATCTGATATTTCAATAAATTCAGAGAAACACTTAAGTTACAGAGAAGGAAACTTTCTGCTATTCTCAAGGTAATTATTAAAATACCTAACATGTTAAGGTCAGAGCCTACTCAATATAACGAGGTGTTAACATGCTCTAAAAACAGTCTAATTAGAACTACTGTTGGGTTAAGTTTTCATGCCTCCGGGAGATAGGTCTGCTTTGATTTAAGTCAGTTTCTCTCTTCTTGTCAGAAAGTTATTCAAAATGTTCTTTCCTCTTTATTCCTTTGTCCTCCTTCTTCCTTCTAGTTTTGCATAAGTTCTAGAGGTTTGAAATGAGCATTTTGAACAAAGCACACATATGCTGAACTTAACGATAAATGCACTATCTGTAATTCTTTCAACTTCGTTCTGCATTGCTACAGCTTTTGCCTTCTCATTACTTTATTTTTAAGAGATTTGGAGTAATTGCTTTTGCTCATTAAAAATGGCTTAACTGCCTGTTAATTATTATACAATCATCTTCTTTATATGATCAACTTAACTGAAATCCTTCATAAAAAATGGGCTCAGGAAATGCAGGGCACAATCTCCATGTTTCAGTCACAGTAATCAACTTAGTATATGCACACACACACACACACCCCATTCATTTATTCTCCATTCATTCATTCATTCACTTTTCATGGAACAAAGGCTTATTGATCAGTTATGATATGCAGTGATACTATGGGAGATAAAAATTATAACCTATAGTCCTTGCTTTTAATTAATCCAATAGAAGAAATAAGAAAATTACTCCAGCATTAGAGTGCAAAGTGAAATAGAATTCCATATTATAAGATTGTCCATGTTCTGTTCTAAGTAAAAATCCGTACTTTTAAATATTGAAAAATTAAAGGCACGAGGAGGCATAATCAAAGGTGTGGAGGCAACGATAGACATGGAGTGTGTAAGGGGCAGGGAGTAATTATTTCTGCTTGGCTAGGATACATGGTATCCAAAAGGAGCTTTTGAAATAAGGTAAAAAATGAACCTGTGTGAGAGACATTTGGAGTTTATTCCATTGGTAATGGAGAATGTTTAAAGATTTTTTTTAATGGTGACAAAATGATCAAAGATTTACTTTCTAAAATTAATATGAAATCAGAGTGAAGGACAGAATTAAAAAGGAGGGCTCTATGGAAAACAGTTATCATTATTATAAGCTATTTATTTATTTATTTAACAAGCATTTAGTGGATTTCTTTCTTTTCCTTCTTCCTTTCTTTTTTTTTTTCTTTTGTTTCAGACAAGGTCTCACTCTGTTACCCAGGCTGAAGTGCAATGGCATGATCACACCTCACTGCAGCCTCAAACTCCTGAGCTCATGCAATCCTTTAGCCTCGGCCTCCCAAAGCACTAGGATTAGGATTATAGGCATGAGCCACCACAGTTGACCAGTGAGTTTCTAATACATTCCATAGTATTTAATACAAAGATATATAAAGAATTAAGGCAAAATTTCCCATCCGTAAGAAACTCAATCTAGTGTAAAGACCACTAACAAAACCAACAAAGTATAATGTGTAAAAGTGAAGGTAGAGATATATTTGGGCTACTAGAAATACATAGGTAAACATATTTACTTGGGATAGTTCAGGGAAGGGATGATAAGCTTCCAAAACAAGGGCCTTAATGAAACTGATTCAAAAAAAGTAACAGTTTTGAAAAGTTGAATATGTACAGATGGAAGGAGATTATGAGCAATAGCACAACAAATGACATTTTGAAGGCTAAGACCAGTGGCTAAAACTAGGGATCTGTGTGAAGGTATGACGGAATGATGTCATCAAAAGTCTAACATTCCAAATTATCTTTGTTTAGATAACTTGTTAGTTCAGATATTTTTTTCTAAGCCAGCGGGAACTCTTGAAGGCTTTTCAGCAAGGAAATCACATGACAATAACATTGTTTAGAAAGGTCACTCTAACACATAACAATTGAATGATGGACATGTGGGGTCACTGCTGGAATAAAAGAGACAAATCCATTGTTATTGCCATAATCCATGTGAGAAACAATGTGGGCCTACAGCAAAGCAGAGACATGAAAAATATTATAAGAATCAACAAGTTCAATAGCTCTTGGAAACTAGTTGGATTTCAGGTGCTACTGAGAAAATGGGATGACTCATAAGTAAATAAAATATTTTGCAAAACAGAAATATATCATTTCCAGAGTAGTTATAGATAGGGGTTTAAGATAAGACTTTAGCATGGAGAGGGGGTCTGTTTTATACAGTAGAGTGAGGCAGTCTTAAACACAACAAGCAGATATCTACATTAAATTTTGACAGAGTAAAAGTTTGTGACTAAATTTATCAATAATTAATCTGTATATTGTAGCTGAGTTTTCTGCTTGAAATATGTTACTGAGAACACTCTGATGCTCAGCAAAAAAATAAATAAATAAACAGGAAATGCTGATTGATGACTTTGATAATGTGAATTTGCTAGTTGGGCTGAGGGAGCAAAGCAGCAACTCATTGCTGAATTTCTCACCTTCCTTTTTTTGCCAACAATAAAGTGGATTATATTTGTCATTTTTTCAATACAAAGCATCAGCAATGAAGAGAAAATTTTATGCAAGTTGCAGAAAGTTGAGTAGTTTTATCTAGCAAAAATTGGAAGTATTCTGACCTTATGATGAGATAAATATTCCAATGTGTAAAATTCTCCCTGTCATTGAAGGGCACAGGCTGGATGCAGGTGGCTCTGGTTGGCAAAAATTTTGAAAACAAATTGTTGATTATTCTGCCAGATTACTGATTACTTTGGTTTATTCATTTGTTCTCTATCAAGTTTGGGGAATATTGTATAATTGTTACAAATTCAGCATCATTGTCATTGTTCTGGTATTCTTTAGAGTCTGTTGATGAGCTCCATCAGTCCTTTTACTTCCTCTTTAAGTTCTTGGTTGGAATGAGGAAAAGCATGATAAATGCAGAGCTTTCCACCAAGTATGTGGTTGATGTTGAATAAATAAACAATGAATATATGAATGAAAATCTTCTGACATCCTGATGACAGAATACATTTACCTTTTCAATGTCAGAAAAAAATGTGAAAAGTAGATTGAGAAAAACTTTGAGAAATACAAGTGTAGGGAACAGAGTGTTATGAAATCTCATATATCCATCACACAGCTTTGAGAATTACCAACCCACAGCCAATCCTGTTTCATGTATGTCCTTACTGGCTTCTGATTTCTTCCAATAATATTCCTGGAGTAAATATTGCTGTTTTCTGAATATGACTTATTAACAATTCAACCTTCGTGCAAAAATTAAGAACTATGTAATAATTATTAAGTCACTCCAATAAATTTACTTAATGCTTTGAGCTTTGCATTTTATAAACTACTCTTTTGTCATAGTTTAACCCTCTCTAATTTAGCTCTTGTTTCAACATCTCAGTGGTTCTTTGTAAATATGCAATTTCTCTCTCTCTATATATATATATACATATATATACAAATATTTATTTGCCCAACTAGCAAATTCGCATTATCAAATATATATTCTGCAGCTGCTTTTCATTCATGGTAGTTAAGGTTGTTCATTTATCCATAGTGGCTCTTATTTTTGTTTGTTTTTTCTTTGGAACATTTCTACTGTTACTGAGATAACATTCACCTTTGGAATAAATTGGTTGTATTAACCTTGTCAGATGTTATTTCCTAAAACCAGTGAATAAGAGTTTTGCCACTGAATGAACGATATAGCCATGGCCTTTGGTCTTTCTTTGTTTTTATTTACAGAAAAAAAATTTTTTTGAATTATAGGTTCAGATTTTTTCCTGAGAGTATTAAAGAATCAATTTAATTGATATGGTCTTAGACATAATTACTGCAATTTTATAAAAATGAATGGTTTTTTGAATTGTGGCTATTTGACTACAAAATGTGCTCTTACATATTCTTATAGATGTCAGCAAAAAAGTCCTAGAAGTGCTTCGTGATTAAAAGAAACAAGAATATACATTATCGCTTAGAATGTTGCAAATATTTATTAATCATATCTTTTGTTACAAATTTGTTAAAAAGTTTAATTCAAAATAAACGCTTTCTTTTGTGCTGGGTCAAAGTCTTCAAATTTTGTTCTTTCTTGCCTTTTTAGCCTGCCTTGTAATTTTCTTGCTGACAGCTAGACATAATGAGTCAGGAACTGTGGTAAATAAGTCTTTTTTTTTTTTTTTTTTTTTTTTTTTTTTTTTTTTTTTTAGACAGAGTCTCTCTCTGTCACCCAGGGTGGAGTGCAGTGGCACAATCTCGGCTCACCACAACCTTCGCCTCCTGGGTTCAAGTGATTCTCCTGCCTCATCCTCCGAGTAGCTGGGATTACAGGCGCCGGCCACCATATCCAGCTATTTTTTGTATTTTTAGTAGAGACAAGGTTTCACCATGTTGGCCAGGCTGGTCTCGAACTCCTGACCTCAGGTGATACACCTGCCTTGACCTCCCAAAGTGCTGGGATTACAGGCGTGAGCCACCGCACCCAGCCGGTAAATAAATCTTTAGTGTTAGTTCTTATGCTAATCCTGCTAGGAGTTGAACTGTGTATAACGTTTGCTGTAGCTGTTAGTGTCAGCAGCTTAGGTTTTATTAGTGTCTGCATTTTGGTCTGTCCCATCACCTTTGGCAAAAGGGAACAAAGCGCTTCTTCTTAAATAGACTCTGTCTTGCAGTTCTTTCAGCTATAACCTATTATCGTTATACTGAAGTTTTGTTGATGTGTTGATGAGATATGGGGCAAAGGAAGTATTCTATAATGTTATAATTAATGTCAGTTGTTTTGAGTGGGCCTGGTTTCTGAGGATGTGACCTTCACAAATGTTTCTTATCAATTTTCCCCTCCCCTTCGGTGATACAAGAAGGCTAGATGGGACTGGATTTGTATGATTTCTTTTTCCCAAGTTGTATAAGGATTTGATGGTCTTTTTTCTTGCAGGGAAGATATTTCTTAAAATGGAAAATGTTCTGGGAGTATTTCAAAATGGTTAGCTTTCTCCTCCTCTTGCTATATGAAATTATATAGGAATATAATTATATTTCTTGCTAGAAATGTAATTTTCCCTGAATTAGTGGGATTCCTAGAGATAAGACCCATGAATGTGTGATTGTCCTAAGACTCAGCCATTAGGAGTTCTCACTCTCAACCAGTCCACACTCAGCCTCCAGCGAAGCAACACAATCACCATATAGGTACATCCACCAATGTAAGGCTCCAGTGGTTTTTGCTTCAAAAAACAGATCTCCGCTATGAATCTCTGCGTGTCTCTTCAGATTTTGTGGTGCTGGTTTACCTTGAAACCTCAATTCTTTGATGGGTGCAAGAAAGGTTGTTGATTTTCAGTTTGCTCTGCTTTGTTCTTGTTGTGAGGAGAGAAGTGATAGCATCCGAGCTCTTCACATGACAGAGGTGAAACCAGAAGTCCATGATTATCGTTTTATACATTTACTATGAAAGTTTTCAAACATATACAAAATTATCAGTAGTACACAGAAACCTTATGTGTCTATCACAGAATAGATCACAAATAACAATATTCGTTGATCTTGTTTCATCTATGTCTCCCATGTTTTTACTTAAGCCAAGAATTATTATAAAATAAATACCAAACATCAAAACCCCTAACACACAAAGCCTTCAAGCCTCAATTCATTCTGTTTCAATGTTGACATTGACTGAATATTAGATGGTTTTAAGAGATTATTATTAACTTTGTTGGGCCTTATACTACGACAGTTATATATTTTTTATTATTTTAAAATCCCCCCCAGCCTTGTGTAACTCCCAATCTATTCTCTATGTTTATGATAAAATATATCTTAAAAAGTGGATCTCATAACAGTAATTTATTTTTATTTTTAGTTATTATAAATACATACTAGTTATACATATTTACAGGGTGCATGTCATATTTTGACACAAGTACACAATTTGTAATAAACAAATCAGAGTAATTGGGGTATTTCATCACCTCAAACATCATTTCCTTGTGTTAGGAACATTTTAATTTCACTCTTCTAGTTATTTTGAAATATACAATAAAATATTATTTACTACAGTCACTCTATTGTGCTACCAAACACTAGATCGTATTCCTTCTGTCTAACTGTATTTTTATACCCATAAACCATCCCGTCTTTATCTCCCATTCCCACTCTGCTTCCCAGCCTTTGGTAGCCATCATTCTACTCTCTAGCTCCATGAGTTCAATATTTTCTTTAGCTCCCGAACATTATTGAGTAGATGCAATATGTGTTTTTCTGTGCCTGGCTTATTTCAATAAACAAAATGTCCTCCAGTTACATCCCTGTTGTTGCAAATGACAGAGTCTCATTTTTTATGGCTGAATAGTATTCCATTGTGTGTATGTACCACATTAAGCATCCTTATTTATTAGAGATAAGTGCTGAAATTTTTATGGGTGTTTGGGGTTGTTATTGTTTTTATTGTTTTCAATTATTGATAGTTATATAACAAAAGGCAGATTTATTATGGAGAAGATTGTTTAAATAAGTCATCTTTCTAAATACTTATCTAAGTACTTATCTAAATACCATCAAAATAGAAAACACAGTATATAAAACATTTTATAATTTATTACTACTTAAATTAACTAACTGCTTAATAAAATTAACCTTACCACTTTTAAATATTAATGGAAGTTTTGTTTTATTTTCTCCTTAAGATAGTTTCTTTCATACATTTATCCCAGGCACCACCCAAATAATGGCATGCTGGTTTCACATTAGGCACCAAGATCCAGTGGGGTGGGGAGGTGGGAACGTAACTTTAAAAAGATGCCAGGAACTCACCTGAATATTTGGAAAACCATGGAATATTTATCATGACATTTATATACAGAATTACTTCAGGGTAATCAAGTAGTTGATAGGGGATGTTTATCTTTTATGTTAATATTCATAGTACTAATGGAGAGCAGAATGATAGAATTAGGACATGACCATATTTTAACCTCTAAGGAATTTGTAGATTTAGACAATAATCATCAAAGTAATGACATCAAAAAAGCCAGACATTATGAAAGTATACAACACCATCTATGAAGTAGTTTTGTGTCTTGTAATGGATAGATATAGAAAAATATCTCATTCCTCTGTATTTACTGCAAATTAGTGGTTAAATTCAGAGGCCCTTGAATTATGGTAGTTTACTTTATTGATAATGCGTTCTTATCTTCTTTATATGCTGACCAATAAGACTTTAAAATATATATTTTAAAAGTTATATTATTAATGATTTTACCTGAGCTGGACATACCATATATGAATCGAAACTTGCAATTTTTTTTATGACTAACTCTATTCACAGTCTCATCTGTTGTGATTTTAGTTGGCTATTTCACACACTAAAAGAGATGTACACATATATATTGTGTTATGGAGTGTCCTTGTGGGAATTGTCAAATATTGGCAATCACAATATTTAATATGAACTTTGTGCCAGATTCTACTATTCAATTCATATGTATCTTCTCACTTATGTTAATACTCCCATCATACATACATGGAAACTGAATAACAAAGAAGGTATGTAACTTTCTGAGGTTACATAAGTGTTAAAACTTACTTGTGTTTGACTCCCGTGATTATAGTTTTAGCAACAAAAATTAATGAATTCATCCAGTACTAATACATTGCAGTGGCAAGTCACATATGACAACAATCTTGGAGGCTGAACATAAAATGTTCCTTTCCTTGGCACAAGGTAGGTTTTAAGGTGATCTGGTTATTCAAAAGGATACCTTTGTACTTACCATAGGACTCAGCCATCCCACTCTTACATATTTATCCAAGAAAAATGAAAACACCTTTCTATACCATATGTGAACAAATCAAAATCTGTATTGGCTTCTATCTCCATTGTAACAAATTACCACAACCTAGTGGTTTAAGTTAACACAAATTTATCGTCTCTCACTGTGCAGGTCAGTGTTTGCTGGGCTACATTCCATCCAGAGGCTTCAGGGTAAAATTCATTTCCTTGTCTTTTTCAGCTTTTAAAAGCTACCCGCATTTTGTGGCTCACAGACTCTCTCCGACATCACTCCAACCCCTTGTTTTCACAGTCTCATCCTCTGTTAAACCATAGCAACACTATTCATAATAGTCCAATTATTTAAAAAAATCTAAATATCAATCAACTAGTGAATGAATAAACAAATTATAGTATATCCATAATATGTAATACTATGCAGCAATAGATAATACAACCATAATGAAGATAAATCTTGAACATATAATAAGTTTGAGAAGACAAATACAAAATACTGCATACTGTATGTATAAAAATCTGGAAAAGTCAAACTATTATAACAAAATGCAAATCAGTGTTTGCCTAATGCCAAGAGTTTAGTGAAGTGATGGCAAATGGAAAGGAGAGACATTTTTATAATGAGATAAATGTTCTATATATCAATTATGGTAGTGCCTATACAACCTTATAAAATTGTCACAACTCATCAACTGTATACTTAAAATAGAAAGGTTTGATTTTATGTAAATTGTCCCTCAATAAATTTGGAAAACTGTTGATAGACTATCCAGGTTATTTTATGATTTTTTGCTTTTATATAAAATCCTTAATTTTCTAGTAATTAGATTGTCAGTGACAAACCTTATCAACTTATACATTAGAAGAATGAGTTCCACATTTTTCATGATACAATGCAGATAAGCATCAGAGGCCATTAGAAAAATCAGAAATGCAAATACATTAATAGAAATTAACATGAGACAACTTTCCATTAATAAAGCTGAGTTTGAACTTTCAAATGCAGAAAATGTCATTGATAAAATTTCAAAGCTTCTTGGATCATTTCCTTTTTCTCTTAGGAACTTAAATTCCTGTCCCAAGCCGTGAGTACCAACGGATCCTAGGTCAGTTGCACAAAGAATTTAACATTAGAACCAAATAATCATTTTCTTCAAAGCTCTTCCTAAGGATGGTATAAGCATGGATAGGCTAACTGTAAATTAAACTGTGCTGATCCCTCAATGAAAGGAATATCAACAAAGGTACCCCTCATTCTATATAATATCTTCATTTGTAAAATGATCCAAGGGTGTAGTTTTGATATGGGAGAGTTAACTTTGTAAAATGCTGTATGCCAAAACATCAAAGGGATTTTTGTTAATTATGATGATGATGATAACTGTAAATGTTACATACATGTCCTGCTTTGCATAAGTTAATAGAAAGTTCAATTTCCCTCCATTCTTTCAAATAAGCCACAGAGCAACTTTAATTTCATCCTTCTGCAGAGTTATCTGAACAACTAGGAGCAATTAATTTGTAAGTTATTTACAAGTGCTCACTGAAGCACATACACTGCTGATTTATGTGGCAGCTAAAGGGCTATGAAGAAGACAATGCTCACTAATCACAGGCACCGGGGACATTATCACCACAAAGTAAGTGACATCTGAGTGTCTTAAAACTGTCACAGAAGGGTTTATACTCATTAGTGGCAGCTCACAGTTTTTTTCACAACCCTGAGCACCAATGGCTAAAAGCATTTATTCCATCCAGGGGTAAAGCATAACATAAATAATAGTATCAATTAAATTATCCTGTGTCACCCATCTAAGTATTATCTTCAGCTCATCCTTTATCCCCTGTATCTGATCAAAGGCCACATCTTGGGAATCTTACCTTATGCATGTCCCTTAACTCTACCCTTCTTCTCTTCTGTTGTGTCTAGACTATTATAATGACTTCCCCTCTAACCACCCTGCCCTTAATCTGGCCCCACTCTACCTACTTCACTGAAACCAAATCTGATCATATTACCCACCACTTAATCCTCTCCCCTCCCTCTCGATGCTTTCAGGTTGAGGTTGGAATACTCTGATGCAATAAATAAGAACTGAGATGATCTGGCCTTTCTCCACCTCTCCAGTCTAATTTCCATCAACTTTCCTCTTGTCTCCATTGCTGTATGTACATACAAGGGTGTTACCATTCAGAAGCTCTAAAGCACTTTCCAAGAACACAGCATTTTATGTCATGCCTCCAATATTTGCTGATCCCTGCTTTTTGCTATGTCTTCTATGTAAACTCATAAAATGCTTCTTTACTCCCCTAGTGTTACTTTCCCTTGAAGCTTTCATTGGCCCAATAACATATCAATTATTTACACTCTTCTCTGTTGCTCTTCCTATGTTACTAAAAAAACTTATTTTTTAAATAATTACCTACAAATCATTTATTTATCTGTTTTTTACTACTTGTATATTATATTTTTTTCTGATTTAGGAAGCATAGCTTATCTTTACAAACCTGGTGGCTGTTGCAGAGTAGATGCTTAATATACATTACAATGGACAACTGTAGAGAAAATTCTGTATTAGTGAAAAGTTAGACTAGATGGTTTCTAATGTCCTTTTCCAACTGGAAGACTTTTATATCACTTTCTTCTTTATAATATCATTTCAGAGCCACAATCTGAAAACTCCAGTTCCTTTCTAGTTTGAGTCTCTGTTAGAAAATTTCTGTCCATTATAAAATACAACTACTTATTCATAACACAGAGCAAATACAACAGTCTCTTCTAATTTATAACAGCATATAAATATTGTATAATGTTCTTCTTTCCCAATACTTCTAAGTCTCTTAGGGCATTTATGATACAAAGACAAATACTAATTTAAGTTCACTTAATTTCCTGGTATTTACTCTTAATCTTATTTATTAAAAAATTCAATAATTGTACAAAACACAGAGAACTCACTCTGTTGTAGATCTATATGTTGTCACTCTTTAGTTCAGCAGTATTAACTAGAATCAATTTCTTCTCGGGAAAGATACATTTTCAATGATTTTTTAACTGAAGTATTTTAGAAAAAAAAAAGCCTTTCCCTCAAGCTTCCTTTGTAAAGGTTAAACATACACACTCACTATGTGCTGCGTGGATCTTATAATACATTTTGGGAAAACTGAGTCATCCAATTTTCTGTGTTGATAGCAATCTGAGTATTCTTGCCCCCATAAAAGCCATCAAAAGACATGAAGCTAAAAAAGATTTCAGTACCTCTTCTATTCTCTGAGATAAATGTTTAGGGTTACATTTAAGTAGGTTGATTTTTCATGACTCTACTACTCTATCAAATCAACACTTTATTCACATTGATATTTATGACTCTTTTCTAACTCCATGGTACATAAATAAAGTTTATAGGTACTGTCAAATGTTGTAGACGAAATGCTTAAAAACAGAATCTTACCCTTGGAAATATAACTAGGAGCTATATCAAGATGTTCTGAAACCAACAAGAAATATAAACACAGACTATTGTATTTTAAAATATCTAGGTTTTCAAAGGCTGCAGGGATCAGTTCTATTCTAATGATTAAATGGCGGATTCACACAAATGGTCTATTCCAAGACCACCGACTCCACCTGTGCCTTTGTTCCTTCATCTGAGAACTTTTTATCGATGCTTTCCTTTCTCTTGGATCGTTTGGTTTTTCTCTCTTGTGTCAGTTAATCTCTCCCTCACTACTAGAAGTTTTACCTTCCCTACACATATGAGTTTCTCCTCTTAAAATGGTCTACCTGTGACCTGGTTAAGTAACAATTCTCTTTCTTTTATTGTCAAAGAATGGGAAAAAATAATTTCTTCTCATGGTCTTCCTTTTCCTTTCACTCTCACCTTAACTTCTTGAAAAGTGAGTTCATATCCAATCTCTATGAGGACTTTTCCTAGCCCTCACTGTCCTCGGATACTCTATTGAATTTCCTATGTTGAAATTATAATTCCTTTTCTCTTTCCTTTGTGGAAATTCTTTCTTCTCTAAATTGCATGCAGCTGTGTTCTTTTGGTTTTCTTCTTATGGGATCTAAACGTTGGGCAGGCATAGAATTCTAACTACCTAGATCCAATTCTTACTCCATCGTCAGCTGCTGCATGACCTAGCACAAATTACCTCACCTCTGCATGCTTAAGTTTCTTCATTTAGGCCAAGGTCTTATCTTTAGAGCAGGTAATCTGTCAGTCACTGCCACTAAAAATTGTTAAAATCTCATTAAACTAATGGGTCTCTTTAAATTAAGCCAAATCCAAAAGAAAATTCCCACACAATAAAGTTAAATATATAGCTGTTTTTGAAAATCAATATTATATCATAAGCAATGGGCTTCATTGCATCTTACAAAGTTTTTGACTAACAAATAGAATAATGTATGTTAAACTAAAATATAATAAATATGCATGTTTTTATGCAATACTTAACAAATACTTGAACATCCATTAAGTACTGGAAACAGTACCAGCTACCTGGATATACAATAGTGAGTAAAACATGTCATATAATAGATGTTAACATAGTAACATTTGCAGAATGAATAGACTCATTCATTCTTCAATTTAACTGATGCCACTAGAATTTAAGAATTCAAAACTTTCATTTTAAGATTGTAAATAATCATCTTATTTGTTTTAATTTATTTTATTTTTGTTTTAAGGAGAGAGTCTGGCTCTGTTGCTGAGGCTAGAGTGCAGTGGCAATATCATAACACAGAGCAGCCTCGAACCCCTGGACTCAAGCAATCTTCTCGCCTCAACCTCTTGAGTATTTATGCAAAATAAGGCCCACAATTTCCTGTTGCAATGCAGAAATCCTTTCAAATCTCTAAAGTTAATAGTTTTAAAGTTTGAAATTCACCTTGGTTAATATTTTATATCATTTTATCCATTTGTCCCAGAGTCTCTGAAATTACGTTATCAGCATAGGAAGAATATGAAGACTTTTATTTATTCATTTATTTATTTTATTTTTGTTGAGATAGGATCTCACTCTGTCATCCAGGCTGGAGTGAAATGATGCATTCATAGCTTACCGTAACTCGTAACTCCCGGGCTTAAGTGATCCTCTCACCTCAGCCTCTGGAGTAGCTGGGACTACAGGTGTGCACCAACACACCTAGCTAATTTTAAAAACGTTTTTGTAGAGATAGAATCACATTGTGTTGCCCAGGCTGGTCTCAAATTCCTAATCTCAAGCAATCCTCCCACCTCAGCCTCCCAAAGTGCTGGGATTACAGGTGCAAGACACTGCACCTGACCTGAAGACTTTTATTTATAATGTTAAGTTCAACTCTAAAATGAGTAGTTTCAGTTTAGAGAAGTATATATTGACCTGAAGTCATACTGAAACTGAAAATCTTGTATCATACACTTTCCTGAGGATAACTTTTGGGGAGGAGAAGATTCTTAGCATTACAAGCATTTAGCATAGGAAAAAGTAATGTGTTCACCATTAGTACTGCTACTGAAAATGTGTACAAATGTGAAAACAGGAAGTTCAGCTTGGAGTGAGGGGAATCATGGTTTTCCACCCTCAGAAGCTAACAGAAGAAAAGAAAGCCAAATCTCCTATCACGCGAGCTAATACATAATGTTTATTGTGTATAGTAATTTTGGTAACAATATGAATCTATATTTAGTAGAATGTGCTCTGGGAAATACATTGCAATAAATGCTATTGCTTTTATAAAATTACCCTATTCTTTTTATGTAAAGACATACCTTATTGTCTATTACTTTAATATCAGTTCAAAATATTTATTAATCTGCTTAAAATTGCCTGCTGGATGGCACATTAGAATGCTCTATATAATTTATGACATAATTTTCCTTTCCCTTTGTATTTTCTACATTTAGTCATTTCTGAGAGAATTCATTACCTTTTTGCCACAATTACATTATGACTTCTGATAAATATAAGGGTATCAGACAAGATTGCTCTTGCACTGATATAAAAGTTTTTTATTTTATTTCATTTGACTTTATCATATTATTAATATTTCTTTTGAACAACAAGTATTTCTGCTCTTTTCTGAGCCTGTTAACTCAGTTCTTTACTCTTAAGTGGGACAAACCTCTCAGATACAGCCTTTCGACTTTTTATTTTACTTCATCTTTCCTCAGTCTCCTCTTTCCTATCTCTCCCTGGATGAGTGGGTTCAGGGGTGCACATGAACTTAACCAAAAAAAGAGCAATCTCAGTGACAAAATGCAATTAGAATGAACAAGGTAGATCAATTCCATTTCCTCTCTCTTTTCCATATGTCAAGATTATCTAAATGCAGGATATTGCCTAAGATTGCTATTTTTACTTTCAAAACACATACAAAACATCCCTTAATAGATCTTCTATAAAGATTTACTCTTGATTTCTCCTGTAAAAGGGAAGTCTGATTTCCCTCTGCCTACAAAGCCAGAGCAGAAGTCTTCAAATTTTAGGTTGGAAAAATAATCACATGGGTGTAAGGAAAATGGCTGTGCTCCAGTCAGGAGTAGGCAGAGGCAGACATCCGGTACAGCATGACACAGCGGGTTTGGAGCGCAGGTTCACAATTCTGTGCACTAATCCACATTTATGTAGCCGTGTTCATGTAACCTGTTTGTGTGAGTTCATATCTGGCTTTGAGCCACTGTTGTCTGTGAAAAATATAACTACACTGCTGACTCTGTAGGAGAGAGTGGAGAGAGAATAAAGCCATGTCCCAACTGGCTATGGTCCCTCGAGTGTTCTTTCAGCTACCTGCCACCTGTCCACCAGCTTCCCTCAAACCCCAGCTCAGGTTGGAACCTGACAGTCAGTTTCCTGTGAAAGGTGTATATTCTTCAGAGATACCCTCATAGACACTGATTTCATGAAGCTGAGTGGCCTCAGCAATCTGTATTTTAGAAAGTATTTCATGTGATTTTGGTGCAGATAATTCAAGGACCATGGTTTGAGAAATTTTAGCCTGCATTTCAGTTTCCTGCAAACAATTTCTTTAAAAAGGATCCAAACTGCCATTATTCAAATAAAAATGTTAAAGTCTAAACCTTAAGGTTATAAAATTATGGGAGGAAACAGTGGCAGTCTTCTCATTATGTCTTTTGTGGAACTGATAGTTGACTCAACACCCTAGGGATTTGTACAGATCAGAGTCAATTATTTCATGAGCCTTTTGTCACAGTCTACCAATTTAGGGCAAGTGGAATAAATACTATGAAGGGTTCAATCATGCCGGAGGATGAGAATATGGTGGGAGCCCGATTTCTACCAGCTTTCCCAGAGTGATTCTGGTGGGACACAATGTTTGATGAGTATTTTAAGAACAGATTATAAGTCATGTAGAAAGTCTTTCTTAATTCAGTAGGCAACGGAATAATGTTAAAAGTTCAGCCACAGAATTTCCCTACTTTCACACAGGCATCCAGAGTAAGGGAAGTCTGTGTCTAGAATAAAACCATAACCAATGTTCAGAACTAGTTGGGTGATCACATTTTTTAAATAATTTCTCCATATTTGACTAAGATATTTAAATAGATTATCTGTGTTAAGCATATATGATATCATCATTTTTTCTTTTATATAAATGAAATTGCTAAGATCAAATTATCAAATGCATTACCTATCGAAGCAAGGTCAAGAACTGCCTTCCCTATTTCTTTTATTCTTCTTCGCCTGATGAGGCACATAAAAATGACAAGGAAGAGGCCGGGTGTGGTGGCTCACTCCTGTAATCCCAGCACTTTGGGAGGTCGAGGCGGGCGGATCGCGAGGTCAGGAGATGCGGACCATCCTGGCTAACATGGTAAAACCCCGTCTCTACTAAAAATATAAAAATTAGCTTGGCATGGTGGCGGGCGCCTGTAGTCCGAGCTACTTGGGAGGCTGAGGCAGGAGAATCGCTTGAACCTGGGAGGTGGAGGTTGCAGGGAGCCAAGATTGCGCCACTGCACTCCAGCCTGGGTGACAGAGCGGAACTCTGTCTCCAAAAAAAAAAAAAGACAAAGGAGAAAAAGGAGAAACAAACACAGTTAAATACCAGATACTGGCTGATATTGGTAAAATATGTTAGGAATTCTAACACTCAGAGTGAGATAAGCCTTGACAAAATATAAACATTTCAAAAAGGCATTTATAAAACTTATTATGTGCAAAGTGAGTTTCGATGAAGGCATGACCCCGATATTTGAGGCAGATGATCAGTGTGCACACATGATAATGAGAAATAAAATACTGTTTCTATTTTACCTAAAGTTATAGTTCAGGCCACCAATTTTTTTTAAAAAAAAATTAATAGTTACTTGTCTAGCACTGTTCGCATTGCCAAAGATACAAAGATCATCAAACTAATTCTTAGTGTTGGAGAGTAGTCAAGAGTCTGAACAAATTCTAATACTTTATTTAAAATCTTCTTTATGTTGTCCCCAGTTTAAAAAGATGAGACTAACAGAGTGGCATTCTTTGTGTAGGCTTGGCTCTCTGTTAGTAGAGTGCCGTCAACAAATGTGTAAATTTGATGTGTGTGTGTTTTTTTTTTCTGTTTTTATAATAACAAAACTGAAGAACAGATTAAGGATAACAGGCTTCAAATTAGTAAATCACAAGTAAAACATATGTGTAAATAACCCATGGACTTTTTTACACCACAAATAATGATAAAATAACAAGAAATAGTTAAAAAGAAATAGGATTTTAAGACCTTAAGAAAATTATAGGAAAATTCATGGATGGATAATATAAATCCAATCTCCTAATCCAAAGAATAAATTTGTATCATATGGAGAAATTTCAAGAGATAATCTCAGTGAATTAATGTTTCAAAATTATAGAATATAAGAAACATATTAGAATTTTAGAACTAAGGAACTGTTTTCCTGGCTTTTAAAAGAGTAAAATAAAGTTATTATGTATATGAGAGAAAATAGACCTTGAAAAACAGTGGTTTTCTTCCTTAGAAAGAGAATCAGTGATGACCAACACGTATCATAGGTAATATATATGTTTGTTTTTTAAATATGTTTGTTTTTTAAATTATCGATAGGATTCTTGTACGCAGGGATTGGGAAATGCTGCCTAGGTAATATATTTGAATTTCAACAAGACATTAATCTCTGAAAATGTTTGTTAGGTGAATTAATAATTGACAAAAACTATGTATCTTAAAGTACTGGATAATGTTAAGTTTTCACCTGAAGGAAAATTACTACTAGTAAACTGTGGACGTTTAATTCTGTCTTCTGTTCACAAATCTAGGTCATTCTTCAATAGGGGATAGCTCGTGAGGAATGTGCACGGCTGAGAGAAATCTCAGCTTAAGGACGAACTGGAAATTTACCCAAAAGATTGTTCATGTGACTGCCAGGCAGAAAGAGAAAGTTAAGAAGGGTAACCAAGAAAAAGAGCTGGGATCAGAGGTGCAGAATGAACAGATTAGGTATTCAATCTAGAGAGGCTAAATATAAACAGAGAAAGAGTACAGGTTTTACCAGCCAAAGACACTGAAAGAATAGAGTAAGATACATCTTAGTGTGATATTATTTGGTATTTACGTTAGTGCTGACTGCTTCTCCAGGTGGCTTTTAACACACAGACAAACATGTTGAACCAGCAACACTTCTAACAGGGGTCAAAGCTGAAGATACCATCTTCCTCTACTGCAGACGCTCCCTAGAACGTTGGCAGTCATTCAGGGACTCCACAAGGTCACAGTCATAATATCATTGAGACATCGTCTTTTTTTTTACTGTGCTGTCACGTTCACTGACAGTGCAAAAACTATGGTGAGCAAAACTGCTGGGGACTTAACCACAAACCAAGGTAGTGGCAACAAATTGTATTTGTGGTCACTGCATTCTTCACTGTCATGTAACACACACACACACACACACACACACACACAAATGCATATTTTACTTATGAATGTCCTTGATAAAGCAATAAAATTGATTAATGATATTAAATCTTGACCCTTGAGCACACGCCATTTTAATATTCTGTAACAGAATGGGAAATTTGCGTAAAGCGCTTCTGCTGCACACCAAAGTGTATTTGTCTCTACATAAAGCCCTTGTGTGATTGTTTCAGTTGCTACCTGAACTAGTCCTTTTATTCATGAAACTCTATTTCACTTAAAGTTTCAACAGACTCACAAACTATGGATATTCAAGCTTGGATGTTTTGCCAATATTTTCTTTAAGAAAATATAAAGCAAATCTGTCACTTCAAAAAACTAAGTATAATAATGGAATAAAATTTAAGCTTTCAAGTAAAAGTAAAACTTCGGAAAAATTTTGTTGCCACCATGAATTTGAAAGCTTCCCAGGACTTGATGTTTCTGTTGGTATTTGTAGTAATATTAAGAAATGTGTTTTTTTGTATTATATAAAAGAATATATGAAGCATAGGAAGATCTTAATTCAGTTACCAGTATTTCCAAATGACTTACGCATGCTATTACAAAATCAGCATGGGTAAAAGATTCATCCAAAGTGTAAAATAGAAAGTAGTTTGTATAATAAACATAGGGTAGATACAAATTTCCCTTTCCTTTTGTCACATAAAAATAAATGCACACCCACTCATATACACATTATTATGCAATATGCAAATTACAATAACCTACAATATCACATTATCCTACAGTTATTCTGCAGTTTTTAATGCCCCCATGATACTCATTGTCCCTGTTGCTTGAAGAATCTTTTCAAATAAACTACTTTTTAAAGGATTGTTTACCAAATTTTGCTGATGTAATCACTCTCCTAGTATTCTCATAGCTTGCTTCTTACTGTGAGGTCTTTTATGTCCTGCCTTCTTCTACTCTTTAAATAATCACAGTTCAAAATAAATTGGAGATGAGTGATTTACTCTTCTTGGCAGTTTCCTACATACTTACCATCCAGAAGGCATCCTGCCCTAGCTACTTCTTATCTTTCAACAGGGTATTATCTTCACATTTACATCTGAACTACTTAATATCTATGCACATAAAATTTACAAATTACTAATAAACCACCTGTTTTCATTTATGATGTTCCAATGTAAACAGCCTCAAAATACCCTAAACTCTGCTTAGAAGTTCCATGAAGAGGTTATCTAAAATTCAACTGTTGGCCAATGTGTCCTGATGTTTTTACTATCATTGTTTATACCAAATCATTTATGAAATTATTAGTGGCTCAATGCCTCATCCCACTATGATTTTGGAGATCTGATATCAGATCCAAATTAACTTTTATAAAAATAAAATTTAAAATTTGAGGGACATTGGGTTCATTTTCACATCTCTAGTCAGGTAAATGTCTAATCTATACATTGAAAAGCAATACTGAAAGTTCTCTAGGCATCACATGCCTAAATGTGCATTTCTGGTTTATCTGAAAAATGAATCATTCTAGCAATCAATCATATTCAACTTATAACTAAAAACACTGTCAGAGAAATTCACTCTCATTTTGTGTTATTCAGATACAGCTCAACTGGTCAGCATTCTCACTTAATGAATATGCCTTAATATATTTGTAGATAGTTAATTTGTCACTCTGAACCTTCCCTTATTTTTTTCTTTTAATAAACAACTCTTACTCCATTAACCTTTTCTCACATGGGCTTAATTCTATCCATTAAATTATTTTTGTTGCTTGTTGCTGGCCCCTTTTAGGTTTTTGTCTGTCTTGTTTTCTAATGCCATTTCAAAATGTAAGGCAGAATATGGACTATGCAATATTTGAGCCATGCCATTCACAGAGGTTGGATGCCAGCCAACACTTTAGGAGCAATTCAGTAACATTTTTTTTTTGCAATAGGATAATTGGCTCCCATTTGTATCACACTCAAAAAATTCTCTTTCTTGAAGGACTTCAAGAATAAGGTAAATCAAACCTCTATGCAGTACCTGAAATAAGATTAAGGAAGAAAATAAGAATTGGGTTATGAGAAAAATGATCATCCTAATATTTATTTATTTTAATTTATTGTCTTTGGTAGCATGTTTCAAAAATTACTAAAGATAAATATATTTAATCCTGAGAGTGGTTGATTGGATATTATTCTTATGAAACGACAATCATAAACCCTAACACCACATCTCACCCCTTTCTGTACACCAGTAAATTTGATTCTGATTGATTGCTATCAAAGACCCATTTGCTAGATGTCTACTATGTGTAAAGCATTTAGCTGGAAGCATGACCAAAAAAAGCCCAAAATTTATTGGGAGAGATAAGAGACAACAGCTTAATATAAGTCAGACACATAGAAGAATAAGCAATACCATGGAAGAACTGGCATAGGAATAATTCATTCTATCTAGGAAATTAGAAAATTATTACAAAGTAGATGACAGGTGAGCTGAGCCTTGAAGTATAAGATAAATTGAGGCATAAAAAAGAATAAGAACAAAGAGATGGGAGAGTGAAAGCCTATGGTATATTGGGGAAAAGGAGAATTGCTCAGGGGTAGAACATAGGAACAGAAAAATAAGTCTGATGCCATAATGTACATCTAATGTTTGACATAATCTGTAAATATATCGATGTACCTGATACAAAAGAAAGAGAGAAAAAAGTGGTGTTAGATCCTGAGAGTTTTCAAGCCAGATTAAAAATCCTTGGATGGAATAATACAAATTGAGGGTAAATTTAAAAATTGTGAGAATAAAAACAGCATAATTAGATTTGTGTTATGTAAAACTGCAGTGAAGCAGGGGAGAAGAAAGACAGTAGAATCAGGGTAAAGAATTACTAATTCATTAGAGGAGCCCAGATGAGATGTGACAACCATACTAAGTAGGACAGTAGCAAAGGGCATGGGTATTACATAACAGATGTGATAGATATCTTGTAGTAGAACAAATATGAATTGATGATCACAACAGATACTCTAAGTGATCCATCCATCTCTCCTTGGCACTTACCATTTCCCTGCACTCTGGCCCAATTTCCAACTGCCAGCACCTCTGATTCTTTGTCACAGGGTACTCTGTGACCACCAGAGCCCGTTGTGCCTTCTCAGGGGATAGGCCAGAAGCACTGGTGAAGGAATGGCCCTTGGGATCATCCATCCCTCAAACAATAGATAATGAGAATATCTGGATCCTCACTCCATTTCCCTTGTCACCTGGGTGGGATAATTCTCAAGTATGTATAATTCACCTATTTTCCTGAATTCTTCCATTGGATTAAGCTTCAGGTGCCCACAGCTGTAAACACTTTTTATTGGCTTTCTCCCATTCATTATATCACTTATCTTCTCTCCAATGATGTTTCCAGGAATCACTTCCTAACTACATTTTTGCACTTTAATTATTTTTTTAAAGATCTGCTTCTAGGAAGCCAGAAATTACGATAGTTACACACTAGAAGTAGTCCGACAGATCCTGAGAGTGAGATTCTAGCAATGAACCAGTTTCTAAGAATGTATCACCACTGATTCTACTGAAGTGGTTAGAGAATTACTAATGCTCTCACCTGAGGAGAATTGGGGCAAAATCAATGTGAAATGACAGGAGAGTTATTAGTTTTCTCTTTCTGCCTTAACACATTACCACAAATTTAGTGGCTTGAAACAACACAAATTTATTATGTTAGCATTCAATAGGTTAGAAATTCAGCACAGGTCTCATTAGACTCATATCAGGTGTTGAGAAGTCTGTGTTCCCTCTGAAAGCTCTTGGGGATCATTTATTTTCTTGGCATTTCCATCTTTTAAAGGCCACCTCTATTTCTTGGCTTGTGGCTTTCTTCTGTTTTCAAAACGAGTAATGTTGTCTGTCTCAGACCATTCTCCCATAGTCACATTTCTGTCTAACCACAGCTGGGAAGGATTATCTGCTTTTATAAGGACCTATATGATTAGATTGGGTTCAACCCAATAATCCAGAATAATCTTACCATTTATACACACACACACACACACACACACACATTCCCTTTTGCCATGTGAACTAACAAATTCGTAGGTTCTAGGGGTTAATATGTGGACATCTTTTGAGGAATATTATTCTGCCCACCCCAATTGGCTTATAAAAACTATCAAGCATTTAAGAGAGATGAGGACCATGGTACTTAAAGCCTGTGTGGTTTGTGGATTAAATGGCAATAAAGCATTAATAGGAAAAAGGGTAGGCTTGGGTCAGATAATGAGCAACTTAGTATAAGATGTGAAAACAACAGATATCTATGGAATTAAAAAAATACAACAGAATCATTGTCTCCTGCAGGTAGATGGGAGATTGAGCTAAAAATTAGACTGGAATCTGATATGATAGACCTAGAGTTGAATTCATAGCCCCAACAAGTCTTACATTAAAGGTAAATATGTGATAAAGAGTGAGACACTAAAATATGAGATAGGAACATAAGAGTGGTATTCTTATGTTCTTAATATTCTTATATTCTTAAATGAGATAGGAACATAAGATATTCTTTAAAACCTTGGACATCCACATCCCACTAAAATGTCTAGGTCTGCAGGAAGGAGTGGCCATGTGGCTGCTGGCAGGCCTCGGATGCTTGCTGGCTGTTGGCCGGGGACATCAGTTCCTTGCCACATGGGCCTCTCAGTAGGACAACTCTCAACGTGGCAGCTTACTTGCCCCACATAAACTTTAAAACAACAAATGGTGTTTTAAGCAGCTAAGTTTTGAGAATAATCTGTTATACAACACAAGATAGCAAATATAACACTTGAAAGAAAGCAAATACTGTAGAGGAAGCACCAAAGAACCAAGTGGATATCATGAATTTTCCAGTGAGAGTTAGGCAGCATTTGTCCTTGACTACTCCAACACCTTCAAAATAGTTCAATGAATGGGCTAGTTATGGTGGCAGGGATCAAGACCGGGCACTGGCACAACAGCATGGGCTTCGTCTTACCAAGATTGAGATAGCTGTTGTTAATGATGAATACGTGTTTTGTCAGCATTGGAGACCGACACTGGGCCCTCAATATGGCATAGTTCCTCGAGGACAGTAACCAGCTATCAGTGGCAAGCTGATTATGTCAGATGTCTTCACTTAAAAGTAGGAGGTGCTTTGTTTTTACTGAGGTTGGTGTGCCTTCTTGTTATGCATTTGTCTTTTCTGTATTACCCAGCTTCACTACCCCAGGTTCACACACTGATCATGGGATTTTTATAATATGGCCTTGGGCTAATGGGCCTATTTGGGAAAGTATAATAATATAGGGCCATGATACCACTGATTCTGTGTTAAACTGCGTTGTCTAGAAACTGTTTTCTGTTAGTACGTTAGAACAGTCTTATAAAAGGTACATCTGAATTGGCTGGGCACAGTGGCTCACACCTGTAATCCCAGCACTTTGGGAAGCTGAGGCGGGTAGATCACAAGATCAGGAGTTCGAGACCAGCCTGGCTAACATGGTGAAACTCTGTCTCTTCTGAAAAAAAAAATACAAAAATTAGCCAGACATGGTGGCGTGCACCTGTAATCCCAGCTACTTGGGAGGCTTGAGGCAGGAGAATTGCTTGAACCTGGGAGGCGGAGATTGCAGTGAGCCGAGATCACGCTACTGCACTCCAGCCTGGGCAACAGAGCAAGACTCATCTCAAAAAAAAAAAAAAAAAAAAAAAAAAAAAAAAGATACATCTGAATTAAGCTTTGGGGGATGAATCCTTGTAGAACTAGAGTGATTTTCTGTGAGATAAAGCATATGTTTTAGGCCAACAGCTATTAGATGGTGCTGAATCCTCAATGGGTAGAATGGATGTCTCTCAGAGAAGAAGGTAGGAGTATACCAGTTTCACCAACTTTCATGGCCACTGACCCACTTGGGTAATACTTTCTTTCTTCTGACGATCTGGCTCTGCATGAATAGACTCCTAGTTTTAGGGAAAGGGTGACTCTACCAGCAGACACAAAGTGGCTCCATGAAGCCTACAGGTCTATCTACCATAGACCATTTTGTGCACTCTTATGCTACTCTTAGGCAGGCAAAGAGAAACATTTATATTCTAGCAGAAGTAATTGACTCATTATATGGAGGCCATAGGATTGCTCCTGTATTATTGGGGTAGGGAGGAATGTGTCTGAAACTCAGGGATTTACCGAGATTCCTCTTCATTCTGTCATGCATGATGATAAATATAGATAAACAATTGTGGCAAGCATGATTGGAAAGGTCATGATGAGCAGGGTGAGGATCTGTGTTATCCCGCCAAAGGTGAAAACCTGGCCCTCAGATCTGCAGAATTGTTAGGGTAATCTAGAATAGGCACTAGAAAAGGGAGACTGTGAATATCAATTACGGTCTTGGGACCAATTGCTATAGCAGATACTATAATATTCAATACAAGAAAACAGAACATTAGGTAAATGTAAGAAATATCTAAGCAGTATTCCCAATGACATCGCATATAGACATCTTGGAGATTAAAATTTTGGCAGAGACAAAACTATGTGTTTTTTTTTCAATCAAATATTGTTTTCTTTTTCCTTTTTCTGAGCTCATTCTCTAAATTTCCTGGCAGTTAGGTTGAGTGTCTGAGTTATAGACAATGGATGTGAGTGAAAGTGATGTACATCTGGCCTTTGATAACAGCTGATGCTTTCATTCATCCTCTTCTCTGCTCCATTTTGACCTTGAGGGCTACAGCTTCTCATTTCATAGCCCAAAAAGTAGAGGAAGTTTCCCTGACTGGTATCAAATTATTGAGTCAACAATAAATTATGCATTCTAGGGTTAATTTATTACCACAGAATAACATAATCTAACCTGACTACTACTCATTTTTAAAAAAGGGAAACATGTCTCACCTCAATAGATATGCTTAACAGAATGGTCACAGAAAAAATATAAAATGAGGCAATAGGAAACTGGCCTAAGCAATTATCCCAAAATAAAATGCAAATGACAAAGATATACGATGTAAAAAAAAAGAGCTAATATGTACAGATAATTGATTCAGCATTTCTAGAAGTGTCTAATGGGGGTTCAGGAGAGAGAATGGAGACAGAAACAGCCAAAGAAAATAAAAAGAAATCTATGAGCTGAAGACTACCTCAGGGATTTCAAATCAATGGGAAATGACAAATATACTGTATATATTGCATCCTATAGGAAACAAATAGTGGAGTGAAAGGAAAAATCACCCACATGGCTGGACCTGAGATAAAGGTTCATTTAGATTTCAGAATTGAATTGCTTATTTTAAGGTCATGTCAAAAAATAATGAGGATACAAAGGAAGTGGGTCTATTAGAAGAGAATAATGGAATAAACCCAGAGAGAAACAGAGATGGGAAACCGTGGTCACTGAAAAAGGAATAGAACATCCAGATTCCTATGTGATTTCCAGTACATGTGAGGTCTAGCTTTACTGTTTTCTGTCCTTCTGTCTTAAGAGATTTATCTTTACTTCAGTTTCTCCATTTAGGATTCTCTATGTCTCGCAAAAAAAAAAAAAAAAAAAGTAATGTTTAGAATAAGCATACACAACTTGTCTTAGTTTAATCCATGTCTAACTCTTTGTTCTTATATCCTGTGACCTTCTACAATTCATTCTTCTTTGCCATTCCTAATATCACTCCATTTTCCTTGAACACAATGTCCTTTCCCATATACTTATTTTTATATGTGCTACAGTATTTCTTTGTCTTGAAATGTCTTTTTTATTTTTCTCCATGTAGCAAATTTATACATATTCTTTAAAACTTAGATCAATTGTATTCAACCTCTGTGAAACTTTAAACTTTAGTCAATGCCTTGAAGCAGATTAAATTGCTTCTTTCTTGTATTTCATAATTTCTTGTTCACGCACCTCTAAAACCACTGGATGGCATTACGCCAATCTTGATACACGTCTGTCTTGCATATCAGACTTCGAGTTCTTGAGTGCAAGGTCTGTACCTTGTTCATTGATGTATACTCAGTGCCTACTAAAATCTCTGGCATATAATGCATGCTCGATAAATGAGCAACCAAGATATTTTCCAGATTAAATTAAATAGCAAGTTAACTGTTCACTTTCACTTGCTTGACTTTATTTTATTCAATAATGAACCATTAAATCTGGAAATGATTGCCATTTAAGTTCATGAGACCACTGAAATTGTAAAATGATTTTACATTTATTTTATGTTAATTCATTTATTTATTTAGCTTGATAAACTCAGGGAAGAATTTGGGGTCAGGAGAGCTGAGAGGATCATTAATTCAACAACCACCAAGGCATATGACGGCCCTCAAGGCAGTTCAAGAGCTACTAGTTTCACCAACTGCTTCTGAAGGAGCCTGCCAAGTAGTCCATGCACTGTGGAGAAAGCAATTGGGCCCCATATGACATCTGTGATTTCAGGTGGTCAATAGTGTTTCCTTGTGCCAGACTAGGAACAAAGATATTTATTATTTTCTGCAGTGTTTGAACAAAAAACACATAATTTAAATCTTTATTTTTTGTCACTCAAAACAACAGGCCCAGTTGCATTTCCTCCATGCAACTAATAATGAGGAGGAAATTGTAGATGGCATATGTGTCTGTTTTTGAGGTGACTAAGGGCACTGCCTAGTTTTGCATTTCCTGGCAAATTTAACCTGTAGTAGAGATATTGTCACAGTTAACAGTTCATGAAAATGTAAACTAATCACAAACACACACGTGCACACACACAAAATATAACCTATCTGGCTTGAATCTTACGTGATCTTACTACAACATTTTTTACATGGGAGCAGCACTTATTGCAGGTCTTTATTTGTCCTAAAAATAAAAGGCTGATTGAAATAATATAGAATTCTGATTCCTTTTACTAAACGTAATATGTAATATTTTGTTCACAGTATTTTATATTTTTTAATAGTATTTCTAGAGTATTGCTGCAAATTTATACATATAGGCCCAAATTGCATTCCCAATCAATTCAACTTGCTATTTTGAATTGGGCTTTCCAAATAGACTGTTTAGCCACTTATGGCTCAGTTTTAAAGAAAAGAGAAGAATGATGATGAGAACTGTAAATTTGGAGTTTGGTTGACCTCTAAAACTAAAATTAATTTGCATGCTTGCCTTTTCACTCATCAAATGAGGTACAGTTGCAATTTATTTTCAAAGAAGATGAGTCTTTATTATTTTATTTCCATTTTTGCATAACTTGCATACAGTAAAATTCACTCATCTGGGGGCACAATTCTTGATTTTGGCAAAAGCATGCATTTGTGTAGCCACCAACACAATCAAAATAATGAATAGTTTAATTTCATCACCCTAAAAATTCATTCATGCTCCCTTGCGACCAAATTGTAACCCCACCCCAGTATATGGAAGGCACTGATTCATTTTTCCATTCCTATACTTTTGTCTTTTCCAGTATGTAATATAAATGAAATTATTTTAGTATGAAACCTTTCCATTCTGCCTTCTTGTACTTAGTATAATGAATGTGAGATTCATCCATGCTGCAGAGTACAACAGAAGTTTAGTTCTTTTAGTTGCTGACTAGTATGCCATTGTACGGATGCATCAGTTTGTTTATCCATTCACTATTTAGGATATTTAGAGGTTTTGGCTAGTTATGACTAACACCACTATAAAGATTTGCATATAAGATAGTGTGTGAATAAAAGTGTTTCTTTCTCTTGGGTAAATACTTAGAGAAGTTGGATTGCTCAATTGTAGTTCAGGTATATGTTTAACTTTGTAAGAAACTGCCTTACTAGGCATGTACCACCAGAGCCTTTTTGCCTGGTCCCAGTCGTTTTGGCGAGCACCCAGTGGAGGTTCATGAAGAAGAGCTTGTGAATGTGAGTAAAGTACCCCTGTGTCTGTGGCTCCCAGAGAGCCACATGATGATGTGACATCATGCTCTTAATGAGCCTCTTCCTGCCCTTTAGGAATCTGGGGAACATGGAGCTGAATCCTTACTGGTTTGTTGCCCAACTGGCATGTCTTTCTCTAGTGTTCTGCCAAGTAATCCTGGGTTCATGTCCTGTCTCATCCAGGGAACTCCTATCTCATCAGATTTTAGTCTATTTGATTGTCATGTAACATCAGTTTTCTGATGGGTTCATGAAAACTTGTGAAATTTTTTGTTTACCTGTGGTCAGAATAAAAGGAATGCCTCTTCCAGTTTCCTCCATCCTCCATGGGAGTTTAGCTGTGCTGAGGTTTTTAATGAGACCACATTACAATTTCTGATGCTCTCAGGCACAATTGCCTTTAAATAAAGTCTTGAGGTAAATGAGCTACTCAGTGAAGGTGAACTTTGGCAGAAACGTCTGAAATTTTTAAATGCAAATTTATCTCTTCCATTTTAACTATTGTGGAGTCCTGAAGAAATATCCTCTGACGTTAACTTTGAGCTTTGTAAAATAATATAAAATGATAAGGAAAGAAGAATTGCTACTATGATCATTGTATATTCAAATCATGGACAGAGCTGGATATTAAAATGAATACGTTTGTACTAATTAACCAGTAGGCTTTTTTCACAAAGCTAGAGAGGAAAACCCATCCTTTTACTGAACTAAATTTGTTGCCTTTTCCTCAAGTTTTCAGTTGCATATGAAAGCTTACTTTTCGTTTCCTTCTATTATTGTTTACCAGATTAGGCATCCATGCTTTGCTGGTGAACTTACACATATTCCTTAAGACACAAACTATTTTTTTTAATCTTACCTTTTTCCTTAACAGAAGCATAGTGGCAGATGTTGTGAGTTATCTGGTATGGTTTGAACATTTGTCTCCACCAAATCTCACATTAAAATTTGTTCCCCAAAGTTGGAGATGGGTCCTGGTGAAAGGTGTTTGGGTCGTGGGGGTGGATCCCCACTTTTCCTCTCTCTTGCCATGTGCTCTTTACACACTGGCTGTCCTTCACCTTGTGCCATGAACAGAAGCAGTCGGAGACCCTCATCAGAAGCAGGTGCTGGTGCCGTGGTTCCTGTATAGTCAGCAGAATCATGAGCCAAATAAACCTCTTTTCGTTATAAATTACCCAGATTTAGGCTTTCTTGCATAGCAACATAAACAGAGGAAGGGATGATCTATGCTTTATTCTCTCTGCCTTTCTTTCTTGATAGGAGAATTCACAATTTTACTTAGTGTTTAATTTTCTCTAAATACTCCAAGACACCTCTTGGATGCAGATCAATCTCTCTAATTGGGAATATGAGGGTCCCCACTATCTATTTCCATCTCAGCCCTCCAATCTCGTTGCTCATCATTCCCTGACTCAAATACCAAAAGGCTAGTGGTACCCTTTCCAAACCATGCTGTTTCTCTTTTTAATGTCTTGCCTCATAACACATGCATTTTCTGCAAAGTCTACTCCTTACCCATTATTAAACATATTTTAAATTTCAGATCTGAAGGCACCTCCTCCAGGAAGACTTGCCTGATTCTCCATGGGCTGTTATGTGCACCTTGAATATACCCTCTTTATCATCCTTGTTGTAACACACATTATGGATTAATCATCTTTTTTTTTCTATCTCTTTCTTTGTTTACTAAGCTTCTTGAATAAAAGGATTGTCTCATTCACCATTATGTTTTTTGCACAGTGCCTGACACGTTCAATATATTTTTCACTTTTGATGTTTCACTTAAAGGCTAGTGCTTTTCCTGAGTGACAAGTCAATGAATTGAGAGATTTAAAAAAAGAAGCCACAGGATGAGAGAAAATATTTGCAAAACACATACCTGAAAAAGGACTATTATCCAAAATGTACAAAGAAGTCTTAAAATTCAACAATAGTAAGCAAACAACCCAATAAATAAATGGGCAAAAGATCTGAAGAGACATCTCATCAAAGAAGATAAGCAGATGGCAAGCAAAACAAAGATAAATAGATGTTCCACATTATATGCCATTAGGAAACTGAAAATTCAAACAACGAGACACCTCTACACACCTATTAAAATGACTTAAATTCAGAACACTGACAACACCAAATACTGACAAGAAGGAAGCGCGAAAGGAAATTCTACTCATTGCTGGTGATTGCAAAATAGTACAGCTGCTTTGGAAGACAGTTTGGCAGTTTCTTACAAAGCTAAACAGAGTTTTACCACATGATCCAGCAATTCACTCTGTGATATTTACCCAAATGACTTAAAATTTATGCCCACACAGTGACCTGCATATGAACATTTATAGCAGCTGTATTTATAATTGCCAAAAAAATGGAAGCAACCAAGCTGTCTTTCAATAAGTGAATGAATAAATAGCCTGTTATATATACAGGCAATGGACTATTATTTAGCACTAAAGAGAAAGGAGTTATCAAGCCATAGAAGGACATAGATAAAACGTAAGTGTCTATTACCAAGTGAAAGAAGGCAATGTGAAAGCTCTACATACTATATGATTGTAACTATGTGATATTCTGGGAAAGAGAAAACTGTATAGAGACAGTAAAAAAATAAAATAAAAAAGTGATTGCCTGGTGTGTGGGGGTACAGGGAGAGAAGGAGGCAGAAATAAATAGGTGGAACACAGAGCATTAGAGGGAGAGTGAAATTATTCTCTGTGGTATTATAAGGGTGGATACATGTCATTATACATTTGTCAAAACCCATAGAATGTACATCACTAGTGACTTCTAATGAAAACTATAGAACTTATTTAATAAAATGTATCAATATTGCTTAATCACTTATAACAAATGCACCACAGTAATGCAATATATCAATAGTAGGGGAAACTGTGTGTATGTCGTGGGGTGGGAGGTTATAAAAATTTTGTGCTTTCTGCTCCATTTTTCTGTAGACCTATAAATTTTCTCAAAAATAAGCTGTATTAACTTAAAATAAACTAATGCATGCAATTTGTAGGGCATTAGGTATCTTCTTGAAGACTCTGAAAATAGGCTTAGAAAATGATTTGAAGAAAAGTATCTGATGTATACAGGAGAGACATAGATGGCTTGAGACTGGCTGCAGTTTGAAATGTGAATGCAGGGAACAGTCATGCATCTTGAGGGACGACAAGATCATGATTCAAGCCATATGTGTTGCCATGACACAGTCCATCTTTTGTAAAATTTGATTCCCTGTGCCGATTGAAGGACTGGTTAAGTTGAGATGAATTCTGAGCAAGAGAATATCAAACAGCTAATTCAGTAGCCTTCTCATGATTTATAGCCATAAAGCCTTTCATTATTCAATTCCTACTGAACTCTAAAAATAACCTGGTGATGCATGTAGCACAAATATTATTAATGCCATTTTACAGATGAAGAGACTGAAGCTTAGAAAAATTAAAGTTGCAATAGGACTTAAAACAGGTTTTGTAGTTTCCATGCCCTCCAACTGACTCATTTCCACCCCTTTGTCAATATGATATGTATATATCTGTATCTCTTTGCACTGGATATTGTATTGTAATTTATCATCTTCTCACCTTTGCTCCAATGTATAATGGGAATTCACATTTTCAATGTCCTCCTCTTCTTCTTCCTCTTCCTCTTTCTTTTCTTTTTTTAAGTATAATAATGATGATTTTAAAATATGACAGAATTGAGACCAAGCATATAACTCATATTAATAAATATTAATGTGCTTGACTTACTTAATACAAAAATGATTTTAAGTTTAGTTCACAAAGTAAGGTCCGACATAGTTCTACTTTTTTATCTACACCGCTGCATTGCATTTAAAGTATGCTTGGCTTAGATATATTCAGGGATATTTCATTATATATTTATTTGTCCATGTCAATTGTCTTTATGTATATAATGTTTTATATAAGTCTAATTGAAACAAAATTTGGTAATGAGTCAAAACAAGAAATTCAAATTTATACAGAGTTTTATAAGAGTTGATATATGACTTTATAATATAGAGAATGGGAAAGCATTTGACTAAGGCCAATGCTTTTAACAAAGGGTTATGAAAAGAATTAGGAGAGATGCTAGAAACTAACAAGGGTTAACTAGCATTGGTAAATACATTACATGTACAGTAGCAATGTTAATCCGTAAACAGAGACACACTGGCTCAAACATTTTTATTTGAATTGTGTTCTCCAGAGAAACTTCAAGTCAAGTTCATTTACCTGATAAATGTATCTTTACAATGTATTTGTAAGGGTAGCTGTTTTAATGCAAACCACTTATGTATACAAACCATTCATATTTGTAATATAAGTTTTAATTATAGGTTCAGCTAAACTGAAAGGTCTATGCAGAATATAAAATAACACTAATGTGCTCACTATTTTTATGTTGATTGTTAAAATTATTTTACACCAGAGATTTGTTACATTTAACAGGACTGGAATTATAGTATATCAGTTAAGCATATTACCCAGTAATTAAACGGAACAGATAATTGAATTACTATGTTTATTGCTTTAGGGAAATACTTTGTGAAAACCAACATAATATTCTACCTTGAAAGTTTAGCACCACACAGCATGCACCTTTGTGGTGCGTGGTCTGAAAATTATGTCTCCTATTACTTGTAGTTTTGCATGCCTCCATATTTTTCCACTATGACTCTCTTGTGTATTCCATTATGAGTTAAATTAACTAGTACACAGCTTCACAACCATTACTAAAATATTGAAAATCTAAAGCTCTACTCTAACTTTCAAATCCCTTTACTCCTCCTCATACTGACTCTTCTCTCAGCCACCAGTGACGTTGGTACAGAGGAAAGGAGGAGTCCTGAACACCCAGACCTAGCTCAAATACTAGTCCTAGATGGACTGGCAAATCATAAACTCCCAGACTGAAACTTTTTCATTATTCATTCTCTCACTTATTCATTCATCCCAAAAATATTTACTGAGCATTTACCATGTGTAAGGCACTGATATGAGCATTGGGGATTAACCAGTAATCAAAACCTACTGAATCCCGGCCTCCATTGGAGCTTATCTACTAGTTAGAAGATGATAGAGAGAAATAAATTAATTAATTAAAGTTACAGTATAAGTCATGAGTGCTATGAAGGAAAATACAGAGAGTAAGAGGGATAGAGAGAAGAGAATTATGTTTTACATAGATTGCTCAGGGAAGGCATCGCTAACTGGGTCACATACAGTTAGAGAGAAGAGTGTTAAAGAGTGTTATATACTTCTTCAATAAATATGAATCGGGCAGAAAGAACCACATGAGCAAAGACTTTAGAGAGGAAGAGTGTTCTGGGTAAGCAAGAGGAACTGCAAGAATGCCCATGGACCTGGAGTAGAGTAAATGATGGGAAAAGTAGCAAGAGGTAACTACAGACAATAAGTGGGATGGTAGATCATTAGCGACTTGTAAGTGACAGTTGAAATGTTCGGAATTTGGGTAAAAATTAGAAATCCACTTGTGGGTCTTTATTGTAGATGAGAAATATGTCATCATGAAGTGTATCTTCTAGAAGTATCTCTGTTTGCTCAAGATAAAAGGGTTTATGACTGACACATAAATGAAAGTTTGGAAATGCTTAGTGGTTAATGACTCAGCCACAAAGAATGCTGTTACTATTGGTACATTCAACCAGATAAACAGTATGCTTCAAAAGAATATATAAAACAAGAAAGCACATGGCTGAAGATCACAGGGATAAAAGAAAGTCAGGATTAGAGCAGCCACTAAGAGTTACAGAATTGGACGAATTGGGGCAGTAATTGTTACTCAGCTAAGTAAATGGAAGAGCAATTTTGGAAAAGGACAACTGCAGAAAATGGGTCAAAGCAAGATGGTTTTATTGATTTACCTTTATGCTTACCAACCTCAGAAGAAGAATGTGTTGACTCGAATGCAGTTATATTATATCTCTGGATTTTAAAGACAAAAATTCAGTCTACTTAAAAGATACTTGAAATAGAGAGTTTTATTTGGTCCTGGAGATCATTTGGTCTGCTGATTCTTGACCTTGGCAGTATTTTAGATTCATCTAGAAAGATTTTAAAAAATACTGATGCCCACCAGGCATGGTTGGTCATGCCTGTAATCCTAGCACTTTGGGAGGCTGAGACGGGTGGATTACCTGAGGTCAGAAGTTTGGGACCAGCCTGACCAACATGGTGAAACCCCGTCTCTACTAAAAATACAAAAAATTTAGCCGAGCATGGTGGCAGGTGCCTGTAATCCCAGCTACTTAGGAGGCTAGGGCAGAAGAATCACTTGAATCTGGGAGGTGGAGGTTGCAGAGATCTGAGATCGTGCCATTGCACTCCAGCCTGGGCAACAAGAGCAAAACTCCATCTCAAAAATAATAATAATAATAATATATTGATGCCCAAGCCCAATTCTACCTCTGTTAAATCAGAATCTCTGGGATATAAAGCCCTGACAGTATATTTGATTAACTTTCTCATTTATCCTATTGTGAAGGCAGATTTTAGAACCACAAACCCGTTTCTTATCTATTTCTCCTAGCTCCACATTCCAGAGATTCTCATGGAAAGGCTGTCAGAATCTCTTCACAAATTTTAAGATACAGTTTTTGGTAGCCTCCCTAGACTTATTTAAATCAGTATCTCTTATTAAGGATTCAGGTTTGTGTATTTCTAAAACATTTTCCAGGTGATTCTCACATAAATATCTATTAAGCTGCTATCCTACTCCAGGCTGAATAACTGAAGCCGGAAGCATTCAAATTTTGCCGGAACATTTCCAGTGGTATTGCACTATTTCACAAGTTAGCCTATTTTAATTGATATTTTTAGTTCTGATACTGAATCAACATTCACCTCATTGTAAATACTATCCTTTAGTCATTTTTCTCTCCCATGGGGTTAGACGGAACAGATTGTCTTCCTTATGACAAGCGTCATAAATTTGAGATTCTCCCAAGCCTCTTTTTCTCCAAGTATAATATTCTTAATTACCATAATTATTTTTCCTAAGGCATTGTTTTTAGACCTCCTGTTTACTTGTTCTTTAACTCATTCCCCATTGTCAATATCTATTCCTGACAATATTCTTCTGTTGAGGTGACTGGAACAAACATTGATTTATTTTCACAGTCACATCAGTTGAATTTGTATTCAACTTAAACTACCATCCGTGTTTTTCCTTATAGGAATTGTTGAACTGTCGTTAATTCAAGTCTTTACCACACCCTCTTATATATGACAAGATTCTTTATTTAAAAATAGGCAGGTTTAAATCTTACACCACTTGATAAGTGTTTCAAACCCAAATTTGTATCCAATAGAAAAGATACTCAGGGAGCCCCTACATGGGAGACATAAAAAGGAGAAGAAAATATATTTTAAATAATTTGACACCATATCCAAAACAGTTGAATTTGGGAACTAGTGAGACAGTATCTGGAGACTGGATATTCTGCTTCTGTCTAGCTTATAGGAATTTTGAAACAGTACCACTCTCAACCTCATAAAGAGAGAAACCTATATGAGTTACAGAATCACAAAGCCAGTGTGAGCTAGCATGGCAGTATAGAATTCCTGGGATTTCCTAACACAAGTGTTGTTTATACTTACTTCCAGACTCTTTTTTATGACCCTGAGAAACGACACTGAGTACACATAATAAGACTAAAGGTAAGGTGGGAGATCAGAGAGGTGCAGAAGTAGAAGAGGATGTGGAGGCTTTATATTGTATCACCTTGGCCAGAGTAAATTACATTTCCTTGAATTACTGTTACTGTTTCCAGTTAAAGAGGGTGGCAAGAGGTATTATTAGGAGACTAAGAGAGAGGAAGAAAGTCAGCAGTCGTTTTGCAGCTCACCCACATTATTATTAGGCTAATTTACCTTTGCAGCAGGAAGTTTCCTTATTTTTCCCTGCATCCTTCAGCTTCTCTGACCCTGGGCTAGGTGTGTACTTAGCTTTGGGAAGAATGGCCCAGCT
The DNA here is from genome assembly GCF_000001405.40 of Homo sapiens. Classification (NCBI taxonomy): domain Eukaryota; kingdom Metazoa; phylum Chordata; class Mammalia; order Primates; family Hominidae; genus Homo; species Homo sapiens. Next base: position 104,671,629 of record NC_000011.10, read on the forward strand.
TCTGTAGGACACTCAAATCATCAAGTTCAAAAGCAACAAAAATGGACAGGGTTTTAGTTTATCCTATTGAGACTCTGGACTGTGGTTGGGATTCCAACATGTTCTTGATCTCTCTACTTTTCATCCGTCTTCCCTTCCCAACTGCTTGGCTGATAGATTTCCAGCTCCAGCATTTGATGCAAAGACAAAATCTCCCACAATGGATTAAGGTCACATTCCTGTAATGAATCTGGATTTATGTATTTGTGGTTCTATTTCTCTGTTTGAACCCTGATAGATACAGGAGGGACCAGTCTGTATTTCAGGAAAAGCATGAAACCCCACCCCTTGCACGTTGTATTCTCTCATATGGAACTAAGTGAGGGGCATAAAACCATGTCATATACAGGGGAAAAATAGGTATTGCTGCTGAGGAAAAGGTAGGATAAAGAACCCCTCTCACCTCAGAAAGACAGTTTGAGCTCTCCTACTGGGGAGAAATAGAAAACTCTTTCAGAAAAGCTCCACCATAGATACAAAACAAGATTTGCCTGCCTTAGGGAAAAGCAGCAAGAATTCCAAAAATTCCCTAATTCTAAGACCCAGACACATGTAGCTCATTTAAGATTGTGGTTGGACAATAACACACAGACCTCTTCAGCCTCTCACCACTAACCTTCCAAGCTTTTATTACATAGTAAATGGAATCTATTGCTCTTGGAGGGACAGAGCTTCAAGAGAGAATCCTATGTGGCACAGATGTTCAGGGCTAGCTAAAAGCTGAAGGTGGACCACAAAAAACCCAAACCTATTAGCTCCCCAGCTCCCAGTGCAAGAAAATCTTTAGTGAAATTTGAAGCCTACATTGCAGTGAAGGTAACCATAGCAATCACAAACCCAAACTCAGCTCAAATCCTGACAAGATTGACTTAACACTCCTACAAACTGCATATAGAATAGTATTTGCAGGTGTTAATACTGTTTGCTTCAGTCTGTATTCTTCTACACATTATATAAGGTATTTGATTTCAAAAATTATAAAATTCAAATAAAGGAAGATAAAATAACCATTTTTTATAGAGAAAGAATTCAAAAAAACTCAGGGAGTATATTATAGTGGCTACATTGAAATAGGAATTTTATACTCCCTATAGTTAATATTTTTAAAGGATTTAGTTAAAAAATGGACAGCATATATGTATAGATTGAGAAGTTCTGTATGATAATAGAAACAATTTGACTAGGTAAAATTTTAATATAATAAATAAAAAAGATCACAGATGCAAAAACCCTTAGTCTCATGAGTAGATTCAACAGAATCAAAGAAGAAATTAGCAAGCTTGAAGAAATATTTTTTTAATTAACCAAGTTGAAATACAAAGAGAAAAGCTTATTAAAATTGGCCACAGTGTATGGATCTATAAAACAATGCTGAGAAGGCAGCCAGACAATAGACACTACCAATTCAAAATTATAACAGACTATTTGTCAGAAACTATGCAAGACAGAAGACAATGGAGTGACACCTTTAAACTGTTGAAAGGAAAAAGCAAACACACAATACAAACAAATAAGCAAAACCTGTTAACCTAGAATTCTATACCAGTGAAGATATCTTTGAAACATTAAAGTGGAAATTTAAATTTATTCAGACAAACAAGAGCTGAGAAAATGTAATACACCATAAGAAATATTCAACGTATTTCTTCAGACAGAATGAACTTGTGGTAAGTTACATATGTTTATTGGATACCACAGAGCAATCACTAAAATTTAAAAAAAAAAAGGAAAATGTGGTATAACAAATAAGCTAAGAGTGGACATAAAATGGAATCACTAATAAATTTATGTTAATCACAAATCATAAAAAAAATTGAAGAAAAAAGCAAAGGTCAGAAGGAACAAATATCAAGCAACTAGGAGTGTAGTGCATTTTAATAAAAATTACATCAATTATATTAAATGTAAATGGTATTCAGTATCATCAAAAGATAATTTTTTAAAATAAAAAAGAAACAATTGTATGCTAATGATAAGAAATGTGCTTTAAATATTTTAAATATAAAGACAGGTGAAAGGTAAAATAATGAGGAAAGATATACCTTGCAAAATATTAATATTGAACCAAGTAGACTTTGGAAGAAGGAATTCTACCAAGCAGAAAAGTTATGGTACATAATAATAAAGAAATTAATTTACTAAGAATTATATAACAACCCTAAATATCTGTGCATGTAGCAATCACACATCAAAGTGCATGCAGCAAAACTATTAGAACTGACAGAAAAAATCTACAAGCCCTCAATTACTGTTGTATATTTCAGCATTAATTTCTCAACAGTTAATAAAACAGACAAAGAGAAAAATCACTGAGAATACAGAAGACCAAACAATACTATGAAATGCCTTGACCTAATTGACATTTATAGAATAGTTCACCCTAAACAGCAGAAAATATATTCTTTCTAAGCACACATGGAATATTCATTTAGACGGGCCATATCCTTGTCCATAAAATAAATTTTCACAAAGTATAAAGAATCAAAATCATGTAAAGTACTTTTGTGAGCAAAATGGAATTAAGATAGGAATTAATAAAAACATACATTGATAACTCTCAAATATTTGAAAATTAAACAACATTTTTACATAGCCTGTGAGTCATAGAGAAAATCAAAAGGGAAAATAGAAAATATTTTAGATTCAATTATATTGAAAATGAAACATATAAAAAAAATTACAGCACATACTCAAAACAGTGCCAAGAAGGAAATATACCATTACATTCTATATCAGAAAACAAGAAAGATCTCAGTGATCTAGTCTTTCACCATGAGAAAGTAGAAAAGAAGTGAAACCTAAATGCCAAGCAAGTGTTAAGAAAAAAAAATACAGTTAAATGCAAGAATCAATGAAATAGAAAATAAAAAACAATAGAGCAAATCAATAAAACAAAAAGTAGGTTCTGATAGGAGCAGTGACCCTTATACATTTGCAGCCAAACTGAAAAAAGAGAAGGCAAAACAAACATTATTAGTAATGAAAATAAAATGTCACTACTGACATTAAAATTATGCTAAGCAAGAGTGTAATTGAATTGTTTGTAACTCAAAGGATAAATGCTTGAGGTGACGGATATCCTATTCTCCATAATGTGCTTATTTCACATTGCATGCCTTTATCAAAACATCATGTCTACTCCATAAATGTATGTACTATGTACCCACAAACATTAAAATTTCAAAAATTATACTAAGTGAAAGTTGTAAAGAATTGCATTCCAGAAAATTTGACAATTTTGATAAAATGCATAAATTACTTGGAAAGCAAAGGCTTTCCAGCTACATCCATGTTGCTGCAAAGAAACACGTCTACAAAAGATTTTGTTCTCTTTTATGGCTGCATAGTATTCCATGGTGTGTATGTATCACATTTTCTTTATCCAATCCACCATTGATGGCCACCTAAGTTGATTCCATGTCTTTGTTATTGTGAGTCACACAGTGATGAACATACAAGTGCATGTGTCTTTACAGTGAATGGCTTCTGCACAGCATAATAAACTGTCAACAGAGTATACAGACAACCTACAGAATGGAAGAAAATACTAGCAAACTGCATCTGACGAAGGTTTAATATACAGAATCTATAAGGAACTTAAACAAATCAACAAGCAAAAATCAAATACTCCCCTTAAAAAATGGGCAAAGGACATGAACAGATACTTCTCAAAAGAAAACATATAAGCGGCCAACAAACATAAGAAAAAATAGTCATCACTAATCATCAGAGCAACGCAAATCAAAACCACAGTGAGATACCATCTCACACCAGACAAAATGGCTATTATGAAAAAGTCAACATATGTATACATGTGCCATGCTGGTGCGCTGCACCCACTAACGTGTCATCTAGCATTAGGTATATCTCCCAATGCTATCCCTCCCCCCTCCCCCGACCCCACCACAGTCCCCAGAGTGTGATATTCCCCTTCCTGTGTCCAAGTGATCTCATTGTTCAATTCCCACCTATGAGTGAGAATATGCGGTGTTTGGTTTTTTGTTCTTGCGATAGTTTACTGAGAATGATGGTTTCCAATTTCATCCATGTCCCTACAAAGGACATGAACTCATCATTTTTTATGGCTGCATAGTATTCCACGGTGTATATGTGCCACATTTTCTTAATCCAGTCTATCATTGTTGGACATTTGGGTTGGTTCCAAGTCTTTGCTATTGTGAATAGTGCCGCAATAAACATACGTGTGCATGTGTCTTTATAGCAGCATGATTTATAGTCCTTTGGGTATATACCCAGTAATGGGATGGCTGGGTCAAATGGTATTTCTAGTTCTAGATCCCTGAGGAATCGCCACACTGACTTCCACAATGGTTGAACTAGTTTACAGTCCCACCAACAGTGTAAAAGTGTTCCTATTTCTCCACATCCTCTCCAGCACCTGTTGTTTCCTGACTTTTTAATGATTGCCATTCTAACTGGTGTGAGATGATATCTCATAGTGGTTTTGATTTGCATTTCTCTGATGGCCAGTGATGATGAGCATTTCTTCATGTGTTTTTTGGCTGCATAAATGTCTTCTTTTGAGAAGTGTCTGTTCATGTCCTTCGCCCACTTTTTGATGGGGTTGTTTGTTTTTTTCTTGTAAATTTGTTTGAGTTCATTGTAGATTCTGGATATTAGCCCTTTGTCAGATGAGTAGGTTGCGAAAATTTTTTCCCATGTTGTAGGTTGCCTGTTCACTCTGATGGTAGTTTCTTTTGCTGTGCAGAAGCTCTTTAGTTTAATTAGATCCCATTTGTCAATTTTGGCTTTTGTTGCCATTGCTTTTGGTGTTTTGGACATGAAGTCCTTGCCCACGCCTATGTCCTGAATGGTAATGCCTAGGTTTTCTTCTAGGGTTTTTATGGTTTTAGGTCTAACGTTTAAATCTTTAATCCATCTTGAATTGATTTTTGTATAAGGTGTAAGGAAGGGATCCAGTTTCAGCTTTCTACATATGGCTAGCCAGTTTTCCCAGCACCATTTATTAAATAGGGAATCCTTTCCCCATTGCTTGTTTTTCTCAGGTTTGTCAAAGATCAGATAGTTGTAGATATGTGGCATTATTTCTGAGGGCTCTGTTCTGTTCCATTGATCTATATCTCTGTTTTGGTACCAGTACCATGCTGTTTTGGTTACTGTAGCCTTGTAGTATAGTTTGAAGTCAGGTAGTGTGAGAAAAGCAAGTGCTGGAAATTTTGTATGCTAATATTTCAGTTTAAAAATGGATATACGGGTGTTGGGGTGTGTGTGTGTGTGTGTGTGTGTGTGTGTGTGTGTGTGCCTGTGAATGAGTGCACGTGTTTGTATGGACAGACTATCTGTAGCTGCCTTGGGAAAGAATATATAGGCCACTGGGTCAAAATTGGAGGGTACTTTTTTTCTTTTCAAAAGATTATTATTATTAAATATAATATTCATGCAGAAAAACATATGAAACAAATATTCACCTTAACTAATCATTTGAAGCAAATACCAACCTAATTACCACCACAATCTGGAAATAGAACATGGCCAGCTCCCTGGCCGGAAGCCTTACTCATGCCTCTTTCCCTCCCTCCCTGCAACGCCCCTGGTCAAGGAAGCCACTATTCTGCCTCAGATGGTGAGCACTTCCTCACTTTGCTTTCAAGTTTTATCACCTACAAATGTACCCCTCTATACTATATGCTTTTGCTTTTCCTGTCTTAAAACTTCATATAAATTGAAATAAACACAACAAATTCTTTGGTGTCTAAAAAAAAAAAAAAAAAAAAAAAAAGAAAAAGTCAAGCAGGCTGGGCATGGTGGCTCACGCCTGTAAACCCAACACTTTGGGAGGGCGAGGCAGGTGGATCACTTGAAATCAGGAGTTCAAGACCAGCCTGGCCAACATAGTGAAATCCGGTCTCTACTAAAAATACCAACATTAGCCAGGCATGGTGGTGCACACCTGTAATCCCAGCTACTCGGGAGGCTGAGGCAGGAGAAACACTTGAAGCTGGGAGCAGAGCTTGCAGTGAGCAGAGACTGTGCCACTGCACTCCAGTCTGGGCAACAGAGTGAGTAAGACTCCATCTCAAAAAAATAAAAAACTTAAAAAAATTTTTAAGTCAAACCATAACAGGTGCTGGTGAGGTTGTGAAGAAAAGGGAACGCTTATACATTGTTGATGGCAAGGTAAATTAGTCTAGCCACTATGGAAACCAGTTTGGAGATTTCTCAAAGAACTTAAAAGAGAACTACTATTTGCCCCAGCAGTCCATTACGGAGTATGTGCCCAAAGAAAATTAATCATTCTCCATATTTAGAACGGCCTTCCTGAAACCCTGTACCCCTTACATTCCTAACTCATATGTGCCTGAGATTGATTACTGCCTATAATTTTGACATGCCCAGTCTACTGCAAAAGTTAGCATCATGCTGCACTGGTCATATTTTCATTGATCTTTCTAATGGGGATGTAGATGAAAGGACAATTCAAAATGATGTGTAAGAAGATGGGCAAAGAACCAAGAGGTAGATGGGTGTGGGAGTACCAAAACAATTTATCAGATAATTCATGTGTCATTTTGGAGGCTGCCAAGTTTTTTGTTGTTGTTGTTGTTGTTTGTTTTTGTTTTTTGTTTTTTACTAGCAACATTTGAACATTTGAATTAGTGGAAATGGTTAATTAATTCTGAATATTAGAGAGGATTCAGAGACCAAGAAACTGATTCAGAGTCACCTACAATAATGTGATAATTGCAGCAGTATTTCTAGACAAATAAATGTAAGAAAATATATGTAGAGAGACAAAGGTGATTTTGAAGATTGAAAGAGTAGAAAGGGCGTGGGAGTCATATAGAAATGGTGAAGAAGTACATGAGCCAAGCTAGTGTATGGAAAGCAAGGGAAGTCTGCTAATGAATCATTGCTACCATTTATTGAAATGTAGGTGTGGCCAACTTAACAATGTTAAGCACTGTGATAAATGCTCTCTAATGCATGAGGGCATTTAATTTAAATCTTAAAGGAAACTATGTGAAGTCGATTGTACTCTGACTTCCATTTAATACAGTTAAAAGACCTGGCTTAGGATGGTGAATGATAAAATCACACAACTAGGAAGTAGCACAGTTATGATTCAAACTCATTTTTTTTCCTGCTATAGTGGCTAAGCTTTAAAACTACAATGCTATGCTGTTTCTTAACAATGGCAAGCCCTGAAGACACTGAGAAAAGCCATGGTCAACTTCAAGAGAGTTTTTCTCAAGTTGGCACCGAGGAAAGAAATCAGATTGAATGCTGATATAATAATTCAGTGTTGCAGAACATAATATACTGAATAACACAGTATGTTCTGGGGTCAAACACCCTGATTCAAAACCCACCTCCCCCACTAATTAACTACATGACTTTGGACAAATGAATGTCTTTAAGTTTCTTTAAATTTCTCCTCTGTAAAATGAGGTTAATTGGCAGCATCAAACTATAAGATGAATGGTGACTATGAAATCAATTAAAACAGGAAATCATGCTGGCACCTAGCAAACCTAATGGATTGTAAACTACTTATTTGAGAGTGAGGAGGTTACAATGCTGAAAAGAGGAGGTACAAAAAAAAAACAAAAAAAAACGCCCATTTAAAGAAACCATATATTCAAGCGAACTTTTTTTATTGGCTATTTTTTTAAAGTATAGATGTCATCTAAAATATAACTGTAAACAAATAGAAAAAATATCAATAGAAAATAAAAAGTAGAGTAAAGATTTGAAAGGAGGAGTAACAGGAATTTGTGGGTGATGAAACAGAATGCAATCTTTATTGAGGAGGCCTGGCAGTATGAGATGGATGGCCCAGGAAAATAATTGCTCTTGGAAGGATGGAAGTTGAATTTGGAAAAATAAACAGCTTTTTTTTTCTGAAACAGGAAAAAATTTAGGATAGCTGATGGCTCAGAGTGTTTTGAATATAATATAGACATATGGATAATTTGGGGGCAAATAACAGAGCTAAGCTTGCAAATAATCTAATTATTTTAGAAAAGTAGGCTGTGGGATAGTCAGCTGGGTGTGAAGAGTTGCTTTGGAGCAGCTCTTTGAATGAAAGCTTCTTCTATTTGCAGTGAAAGTCAATTTGTAGTTATTAGGAATGTAATTCCAGGTAGCTTTGGGATCCTCATTATAAGCTTCCTTAAAACTGCTTTGATTGGATCGCACAGAAGTAACTGCTCTACAAAAAAAAATAGCCCTTCTATAAAAATCCATTCTCCGGAGGAACCAGCCCCATCTGTCAGCCAGTTGTAGCCTTAAACTTACCATCCACTTTTGTAGGAGTCTTCTAAGTTTTTTCTTTCTTTCTTTCTAATTTGATATTTCAAAATTATAGAGAAGTTATGGGAATGAAACAAGAAATTCCTATATACCTGCCTAGATTCACCAACGATTTACCTTTCGTCATTTGTTTTCCTTCTCTTTTTCTCTTTTATTTCACACAAAACATGTATATATAAGAATTTTAAAAACAATTTCAGAGTAAGAGGAAGTTGGAGACATAACGGCCCTTACATTTAGATGCAAATACTTTTGCATCTATTTCCTAAGGTTAAAGAGACACCCTTTATAAAACTAAAGAACAGTTATCAAAATTAGGAATCTAAACATTCCATATGCAAATTTTATTGGTTCTCACAATAATGTGTTTATAGCTTGACTTTTCTTTCTATAAGATGTATGGTGACTATTACATCAGTTAAAACACGAAATCATGCTGGCACCTAGCAAACACAATGGCTCAAAAACTACTTATTTGGGAGTGAGGAGGTTACAGTGCTGAACACAGGAGGTATCAAAAAAAAAAAAAAGGCCATTCAGAGAAACAATATATTCAAGTTATTGGCTATTATCTTTTTAAGTCTAGAAGTCATCTAAAATATAGATGTAAACAAAAAGTATCAATAGAAAATAAAAATATAGAGTAAAGGTTCAAAAGGAGGAGTAACAGGAATTTGTTACTGGGCTCCAACCCATGATCACAATGAGGATTTCATTGTCTTTAGTGCTTTTACATCTGGAGAAATTCTTGAACTTTGTTTTTGTTCCTTGATCTGAACTTTTAGAAGAATGTCTTTTATTTTCTTTTTGGAAGAATATTCCTTAGTTTAGAGTTGCTTATCGTAATTAGATTATGAGGAAAACTCATATCAGGAGCATGGTGTCAGTTCATCCCAATATCGGCCATGCTAGCTTTGGTCATTTTAGTTATAATGATATTACCACACTAACAAAAATGTGGGAAGATGTTTTGATGTAATAGAAATTTCTGATTCTCATCAAATTTCCTGGTACAAGTTTCAGCATCAATTGACATATTTTAAATTCCACTGTTTTTTCTATATTTATTAGTTGACATCCTATTATAAGGAAGAGCTTTCCCTTCCCCTCTATAAATTAATTAATTTTTATATCAGTATGGACTCGATTTTTATTTTACTCAACAGTTTATAATTTATTACCTCATTACTTATTATATTGCCTAAATTATCCCAGATTTGTTCGGTGGCAGTCCTTTCAAGACGGTTTCAGTGTCTTTTTGCCATGACCCTGGATTCTTTGTGCACTATCTTACTACCTTACTTTTTTGCATAAGATGATCCAGGCTCATCTAAAACTTTTCCTTCCCCAGCCCTGGAATCAGGCACTTCTTCAAGGAGCTTTGGTTCTATTTCATGTTGAATGGTGTGTATGAAACAATATCTGATTCCGAAGTGTGCTCATTACTATGGGTGTGCTTCTGAGCCTTCTGATATGAGAGAACTAACATCTAGAGTTATTTTATACCTTCCTATATATCCATAATTTTGTAATGATATATAGTGATAGTTCTAATTTTGATTCAACAGGAGTGTGTACATTGTAGTCATTGCTATTTCAATATTTCTCCCTCCTCAACAGTGAGGAAATTGACTTCCATTATTCTCAATGCATTTGTCCATTTACCCACAGGGTTTAGCTTTTCTAACCCATACCACTGTGAAAAACAAACTTGCTAAAAAAAATCAATATTTATATACAACTAGTTTTATGAGGCAAAATTGACATACAGTGAAATGCACATCTTAAATTTATAATTCAGTAAATTTTTTAGTTAGAATTTTAGAGTTTAGAGGTAAATTGCACCTCTGTAGCCCACATCCCTGCCAAAATACAGAATAATTTTATCACTCAGAAAGATGCCTTATATATTTTGTGACTCATTTCCTCCTAAAAGTAATTAATCTTCTAATTTCCCATCATAGAGTAGTTTTGCCTATATTAGAATATTATATATATGAGATCAAATAACATGTGTTCTTTTATGACTAACTTCTTTCATTCAACATATTGACTGTGAGGTTCACTGATGTAATTGTACATATCAGTACATCATTTTTTACTTCATTAAAATACTGAGTTTTATTTCACATGTATATTTTTGTCTCCCCACCATTTCCATGTCTGACCACTGTTACTACTATATTTTATCATAACATTCCATACAGACATAAAACCAAGCAAAGGGTGGAGTTCCATTTTTAAAAGCTAAACAGGCATTTTGGACAACACATTCTTGGCAATGGAACCTGGACAATATTGATCAAACACTATAGGGAAAGTTCTCACTCCGCATTATAAAAAGGACAGCCAGATATCTACTGTTGTAGAAATGAAATAAGACAGAAAAAAATTAACAAATTGTTTAAACTATTTTCTTAAGGAGACTTCCTCCACTGCCAGAGATCTTGAACAACCTCCTATTCCCAGTCATCTGGAAGCAATTCTTCACATAATTGATGAACTTGCCTTCCACTTTGGGAAGAGAACCACCCTTTTCTATATACTTGCTTGCATTTTTGTTTTAATGTCTTCTACAAAACTAGGACCTTTTGGTGTTTCAGGAGTTTTTTCCTGTTTTATTGTACATTGTTCTTTTTATTCCTGAATAGTATTTCATAGAATGAATATACTAATTTTTTGTTTATTTTATCTATGTTTATAGGCATTTATATTTGCTGGTTAATGTGAATTAAGCTGCCATGAATTGTATATAAGTTTTTTTTTTTCCTTTTTAAGACAGGATTTTACTCTGTAGCCCAGGCTGGAGTGCAGTGGCACAATCATGGCTCACTGCAGCCTTAGCCTCCTAGTCTCAAGCAATCCTCCCACCTCAACTTCCCAAGTAGAGTAACTGGGACCACATGCATGCATTACCATCCCCAGCTAATTTTTTTTTTTTTTTTTTTTTGAGAGACAGAGTCCGTCTATGTTGCCCAAGCTGGTCTTAAATCCTATACTCAAGTGATCCTCCCACCTCAGCCCCAAATTGCTGGAATTACAGGTGTAAGCCCCTACACCTGGTCTTATATAAGTTTTTTGTGAACAATTTTGTATTTCCCTGTGTAAGTATCTATACATGTAATTATTGGGTCATAATCAGATAAATATTTATAAGAAGCTACCATTTCCCATAGTGGTTGTATTATTTTATACTATTACCAGTAATTATGGAAATCCTGATTTTAATTTTTCTAGTGTATGTGCAGTGGCACCATGTACTTTTAATTTAAATTTCCCTGAAAACTAATAATGTTGAGAACTTCTTTATTTATTAGTGACTATTTTTTATATCTTTCTTTGTGCAGTATTTGTTCAAGTCTTTGTCTTTTTCTTATTTCTTTTCCAAATTGTAGGAATAGTTTATATTCTAGATTAAAGTTTTTTTGAGATATGACTGAACAATATTCTCTCCAAGTCTTTGCCTTGTCTGTTATTAATATCTTTAGATGAGAAGTTTTTCATTTTGACAAAGTCAATTTTATCAATTTTTTTCAGTTATTGGCTTCTGTATCTTATCTAATAAACATTTGTTAACCCAAAGTAGCAAAAATATTCTTCTGTGTTTTCTTTTAGAATCTTTATTGTTTTGGCTTTTATATTTAAATCTATGATCCATCTCAAATTAATTTTGTGTATGGTATGTGATAGGGTCAAGGGTTTCCTTCCTTTCCTTTTTCACTTATGGCTATCCAGATGTTCCAGCACTATTTATTGAAAGTAATTTTCTTTCATAATTCAGTGGACTGAATGCCTTTGCTAACAATCAAATATCCACATATATGTTGGTGTATTTCAGAATCATAGTTTTGTTTAATTCATCAGTTTTACTCTCTTAAAGCCAATATAACATTTTCTTTATTATTGCTTCTCTAATTATGAAGCAAAGTCATACATTCTAAGTGCTCCACTTTTATTAATTTGTTCCAGGTTTTTTTATCTACTCTAAATTTTTTGCACCTTCACACAAATATTTAAATCAACCTGTTAATTTTTGTTACAAAATCCTTCTATAATTTTAATTGAGATTATCTTGAATCTATAGATTGATGGGGGAAAATTGATATCTTAACAATATTGAATATTCTGATCCAAAAATATAGTATCTCTCCATTAATTTATTTCTTCTTTATTTTGTTTTGATGATTTACACAGTATAGAGATTTTGAACATCTCATTAATTTTAGATTGTTTTTGAAGCTATTTTGCATAACATTAATTTTACTTTTTATATATTTGCTGCTAGTAATTAGAAATAAAATTGATTTTTCCTGTGATATGCTGAATTCATTTATTGACCCAAGTAGTTGTTTTATATATTCCTTAGGATTTATTGTATGATCAATCCTGTCATTTGTACATAGCAAGATTTTATTTCTTCTTAAATAAACTTTAAGCTTTTAATTTCTTTTTCTTGCCCAGTTACAGTAGATAGAATGACCAAGTTCAATGCTGAACAGAATCACTGAGTGCAAACATCTTAACTTTGTTCCAGGCATTAGTGGGGTGTGTTCAATATTTCACTAATGGTTACTTCTGTTGGGTGTACTTCTTTAATTCCCTTTATAGAACCTCAAACTTCCTTCATTCTGCCTAGTTTCTCAGGCCTTTTCTTCTTTCATCTTTTTTTTTTCTTTTTTAATCTTGAGTACTGGATTTGGTCAAATTCATTTTTTTTGCCTCTATTGAGTTGATCATGTGTTCTTCACTTTTATTCTGTAAATGTCTGACTTACTTTGAATGATTTTCTGTGTTAAACAAACTTGCATTTTTTTGGAATTCTTATAAACTCTACCTTCTAATGCTGAACTACCCCTTGTATACTATTGCATTTATTGCATGTAGTTATTAATATTTTCTTAAGAATGTTTAGATCTATTTTTTAGAGAATTTGGTCCAAATTTTTAATTTCTTATAATGTCTTATCAAGTTTCAATATCCAGCTTATGCCAGTCATACCAGACCAGTTAGGATGTTTTCCTTTTTCCTGTGCAGACCAGAATATGCCACCTCACATTGTGCCATCTTGGTATGAGGGTTATTTTAAGCTGAAGGCAATTGAAAAGAAGCAGATTACAAGCAAAGCTCTCTGGTGTCTCCTAATTGACTAAAAGCAGAACACAAATTTACAAAGACAAAGGTGTCCCTCCAGCCTTCTCTCCCAAGAACAAAAACTGAACCTGAAGACAACTTTAGAAGCTTATCACCCTGGAGGTGACACCAGAGGAATCTACATAACAAACTTTACTAACACTACTTTATCTACTATTTATTTGCCTTCGCACAATTTGCCATGCCTTAGAGACCCAAAGTCCTTTTCCTTCTCCTTGTCATTTCTCAAAAAATGCACTGTTCTTTATTGAAGATGCTATATAAGCATTAATTCAAAGTCATCTCTTTCAGAATTACTCATTCTCTGGCTGTCTCCCATGTATACATGAGATATACATGTTACACTCATATTTGTTTTTCTCTTATTAATCTGTCTTTTGTTAGAGGGGTCTGCTTCAGCTGAGAACTGAGTATAGGGAAAATTATTTTCCTCCCCTATATCTGCATATTCTGAAAGAATATACATGAAAGATTATTATGTCTAGTTGGTATGTTTTTTAAATATTAGCATTCACTAGTAAAACCAACTGATCTTCGCGTTTTCTTTTGGGGAAGGTTTTTGATAATTTAATATTTGTGAGTGTGTGTGTGTGTGTGTGTGTGTGTGTCTGTGTGTGTGTGTTTGTATACATAAGCCTAGGCCAACTATTATATCTTTTTAAGTTGGTTTTAAAAATAATTTGTTTATATAATTTTAGTGGTCAAATTCATTGACATAAAATTACTTAAGCCATTCTTTATTCTAAGACAATAGGAACTGCAGTAATATATCCTTCTTCATTCCTGATATTGGTAATCTGTTTTCTTCCCCTAGAAGAGAAATGATAAATGCTACATAGGTATGTCAACATTTTTATTCTTAATATTTGCTTAGTGTATCTCTTTCCTTATTTTTACTTTAAACTGAAATTGTATTCATGTTTAAAATTCATCTCATAGAAAATATAATGTTATTTATTTATTTTTTTTGAGACAGTGTTCACTCTGTCACCCAGGGTGGAATAAGTTTCCTTTTAAATTTGGGTGCTAAATGAATTTACATTTAATGTAATGTAGATAAGCATAATTTGAAATACCAGTATTTTAAATTGGTCCCATATAATCTTGGATTTGGCATTCTTTTTGTGTCTTCTTTTTCATTAACTGAATGTATTTGTATTATTTTATTTTAATTTCTCTATTGTTTTTTCAAATATACCTCTTTGCATTATCTTTTAAAATAGTTGCTCTAAGGATTAAAATATACTTCCTTAATTTTTCATACTCTGCTAAGATGTTACATCGTATTGCCTCGTGTAAAGCTTGTAATGGATTAATTCTATTTACCTACTATCCTTTGTGTTAGTTCTGTCATTTATATTATTGAGTTCCTTCCGCAATTTTCCTGCTATTTCCATGCTACATTTTTTGATATAAAAATAGCTGTAGAATTGGGGAATAAAATATAAATAGCCAAAGGCAGATACCGACATTCATCCTCTGCTCTTAGTATTCATCTGATACCTGAAAAAAAGGGGAGAATCTCTTTCTCAGCATATAAGAAGGATAAATTTTGGTAGGATGTTTAAAAATATAAACAATACCAATGGAATAAATGTGTTAGAGTGAAAGGAACAAAGCATTTGGGAAGTTGCCTAACTCTAAATCTTGTAACTTTAATTTGTAGAAATATTATATTGAGAATTAATAACAATAAACCTTCCTTGCTTTCTCTCTCCCTATCTTCTTTTCTTTCTTTCCTTTGTCCTTTCTTTTTTCCTCTTTCCTTTATTTACTTCCTTCTTTTCAGCCTTTCCTCTATTCACAAACATTCCTTGTACCGCTACTATATCTTAGGCACTGGGGACAGTCTTCAGCCTCACTTCTTTGTCTGTAAGGGGTTTGAATAAATATCTCATTATGTTCTTACAGAGATTAAATTAGAGGAGAAAATATGTGTGTCGTGAAAATTATAGTCCTTATATTTGGTGACTAATCAGTCAATGATATTGGTCATAATTATTTAGGAAATGTTAATTCTCTCCCACCCTCCATGCAGTAAATTATGTGGGGTTTACTTTGCTAACTAATTCTCTAGGCAATTGTTCTTTGCATTGTCATTCAAAGGTTCAGGAGTTTTTGCAATAGCCTGGAAATATCAAAGCTTTAAAACCAGTAACCTCATTCCAATTTCAATCTTAAAATCCAAGTTGTTTAAAGGCACCAATATTATATTCCACAAATAACAGAGCTCCAGATGCTTGACTGCCAAGCAACTCTACTATTTTATTCATATTTATTCTTATGCATTCACTATATACTGTGTGTATCACTCATCCTAGTTTTGGTAATGATTTTCAGAAGGATTTCAATATCTCAAATTTGCAGAACATCGATATTTAAATGCATCTAGCTATATATACAGGCAATCAAGCATGACTAACATAATACTTGTATTAAACCTGCTGCCAGCAAAATTTTTACCAACCCAAAATTTCCTTACAGTTCTTCATATAATGAATTTTAGTCCCCACATGAAATCAGAAACATTTTATACTCATGTTTTCCAGAAGGCAGACAAAAACAATCTGAAAGAAATTCCTAAATAGATTAACCTATGAAACCCAGGCATATTCCAGGCAGGAAGGCCTAGGCTTAAAATAAGACTAGTCAATATGCTTGCCTATTAGACCAAAAAAAGAAAAAAGAAAACAGCTGATTATTTGCAGTTTGCTTTTCCATATTCTCTATAGAAACCAACTGTTTATGTGGTAGGAAAAAAAAAATGAGATCAAAGAAATCACTCTCAAGATTTGATCCACTCAAATATGTCACCTTATTTTCTTTGCAGTAAAGGTAGTCGTTATTAATCAAACACATTGTTATGTGGAAAACAGGTTTGATAATGTGAATTTTCCTAACTGCATCTTCATATTTATATTAGGTTCCTAGGGCCACCATAACAAAATACTGTCAAGTGGGTGACTTAAAACAATAGAAATTTATACTCTCACAGTTTGGAGGCCAGAAGTCTGATATCAAGGTGTCAGGAAGACTATGTTTCCTGTGAGAGTCTGGTAAAATCTTTCTTTGCCTCTTCCTAGCTTCTGGTAGTGGCTGGCAATCCTTGCCATTTCTAAGCTTGCTTGCATGTAATTTCCATCTCTTCCTCTGTCTTTACACAGCATCCTACCTGTGAGTCTGTGTCTTTATCTGTTTTCTCTTTTTATGAGGGCAACAATCATTGCATTAGGAATCACCCTAATTGATTATGACTTAATCTTAACATAATTACATCTCTAAAGATCCTATTTTTAAATAAAGTCAAATTTACAGGTGTGGGGGTCACATTTACAACTTCAACATATCTTTTTGGTGGACACAATTAAACACACAAAAATAGTCAGCCCAGTTTTATTTTTGCGGGGCGGGGGTGGGGAAATGAATGCCTGATGCTGAGAATCAGGTATTTAGGATGAATTAAGTATCTGGGAAGGACAATGTATCACTCAAAAATTTTGTAAAAATATATTTTCACAACAATTTAAACTGATTTCCAATGTATTTTAATACACACATGTGATATTTAATAATATGCTGCCCATCAGAACACCCTTGTCTCAGACAAGGAGGTTTGGTTTACTAGTTAGGTTCAATGTATTCAGTTTACTATATTTACTTGGCATCTCAGAATCACAGAGCCATTCCCTTAGGTCTCTGTTCAAAAGGGAACTTGTCGTAGCTCCTTCCTGGGTTTTCTGACTCATTAATTTCACTTCACCTAGGAAATGTTCTTTATTCTTCTTGGGAGTTTAAATGTAAGGATTGCGCTCTGCTAAAAATTCCCTTTGAGACGTGATGAAACTGAAAATATTTCTAGGGCTATGTTACAACATTAGCCTGCCATCAGAGTTACTTTTCTCTAGTTCCCATTAAGCAGTGTGTAAGTAAAAGAGAAGATACTCGAATATTCTCTTGAAGATGTAATAAACATCTTCCTTTTTGTGAGTTAGTAATTGTTTTTTAATCTATCATCCCCTTGCCAAATGTTATCTATTTTTCAAATTTAATTTTCTTGGTAATAGGCAGTTATTGCAGAACTCTTATTAAAATATGTAGAGTTATCTTAACAAAGTGCTGATAATTCACATGATGGTCCTGGGATGTTTTGATGAGCTTCATTTTTTAATATTATATTTCAATGTTTCTTCATAGACTTAGCATGAAAGTGTTAAGTATTTAAATGCTGCTTAGGCTTGTTACTTTACAGGGTGTGGGTATGCAAAGATGAGCAGAATATGCAGAATGTCTGGCTTATCTGAATTTTCAGGAGAAGTATTAGAAGATACAATTTTATTTCAGTGGAGCATAATCATAGACAAAACATCCTGATAGATTTACTAATGTTCAGGGTGTTCAGAACTAGGCAAAATCTGATCAGAAATTTTTAGACTGAGAAAAATGTTCTCACTCATTTTTAAACTAGAGTATGAAGTGAGAATTTTCTTTGTGCACTAAACTTGCAAAATTATTAATACATTGTATGTGAGATAACTATCAGTAAATTCCAGTTGTATTGTGGAGTGTTAAAATGTGAATGAGCTATTTTAAAAAACCACCAGATTTAACCACTAGTTTCTGTATTTTTGTGTTCTAGCTTTTCATGATGAAGTTGATGCCTAGAATACAGCAAATGTCACAGAGCAATTAGCGCAGAGAATAGAATAAAATTCAGGTTCTTTGTTGTCAGGTTCAGGCATTTTGGGACTCTATCATCCTATCTTTGAATTATATAATGCCATATATAGTACCATCTGTCTATTCCTTCCAAATCCGCTTAAATATCTTTCTGGTAGCATTCTACCAAAAATAATTATTTCAATGATTTTGGTAATTCTTTTCAATTTTATTCTTAAATTGCTGGCTATTTTCACTTTTTATTTTTTATTTTGGAATATGAAGTTTCATTATGTGCTAGTTTATTTCCAAAGAATATGTCTTTGATGGCAAGCAGTAAATAAATTCCATCATGCTGAATATTATGATTTTTGTGGTTTGCACTACACACATAAAAATCCCTTATATCCATGTCTTAAATTAAAAAATTGTACTTATGGAGACGTGAATTTAAAACATAATAAAAATATTAAAGTGGCTATATTCATGCTGCAGAATTGCCTATTTGTGCCAACAGATTACTCTTCCAGATTTACTTGTTTTTTGGGTACAGAAATAGGAAAACATCCACATACACGGGTTATCAGATGAATGAGATAGAGCCTAAGAATATGTTGAAATTTCCGTGTTTAACCAGATCAGTGTTACTAATATTAGGATTTAATAAGATACAAAGACATAGCAGATGCTTCTATTTAACAAAGACATGTGGTGCTCTCTGACCAAATCCAGATGTGTTCATAGAGCTTGTAGTGAAATTATAAAGTCACCAATTGTACTTACAATTTTAGAGTAAGTAAATAAAGACAGTGTCCTAATATTCTTTCCCCAAAATCTACCAGGTGCCTAGATAGTTATAAATATTTTTATGAACCAAAATGAATTACAAAGTGAAAAAAATTGCCTCTAAGTTGGGGGATATAAAAAGTCAGAGATGATATGACTTATACGATTATTTTAAAACCTGGTTAAATCATACACGCTCTCCATAAACAAAGTTACAGTACAGTAAGATAAAGAGATTTACATTTTCCAGAGGTGGAACTATGTGCAAAGATGAGGACAGGGTTAGTAGAATTGGGTGATTCGAGGTAGCCACCATAAAAGTATTTAAAGTAGAGACTGGCAAACTTTTTCTGAATAGGTGAGAAAATACTTTAGGCATTGCAGTCTCTTTGAAAAATGGTCATCTGGCTGGGCACGGTGGCTCATGCCTATAATCCCAGCACTTTGGGAGGACAAGGTGGGAGGGTCACTTGAGGCCAGGAGTTCGAGACGAGCCTGGCCAACATGATGAAACCTCATCTCTACTAAAAATACAAAAATTAGTTGAGGTGGTGGCACACACCTGCAATCCTGGCTACTCATGAGGCTGAGGCAGGAGAATCACATGAGCCTGAGAGGTGAAGGCTGCAGTGAGCCGAGATCACACTGCACTCTAGCCTGGGTGACAGAGCAAGACTCTGTTAAAAAAAAAAAAAAAATTACCAACTCTTGCCATCATGGTGTGGAAACAGCCACTAATACACAAATAAGCATGACTGTGTTTCAATAAAACTTTATTGACAAAAACACTCAGTGTGACGTTTTTGGAATGTAGGCTGTAGTTTGGTGACTCAGCCCTGCAATACATAATATAGTAGAAATACCAGGGAACTCAAT
This sequence comes from Homo sapiens, assembly GCF_000001405.40. Classification (NCBI taxonomy): domain Eukaryota; kingdom Metazoa; phylum Chordata; class Mammalia; order Primates; family Hominidae; genus Homo; species Homo sapiens. The sequence goes on from NC_000011.10 coordinate 104,691,432, forward strand.
GTCAGAAAATATTGTTACAAGTACATACTCTTTAGTAGGTTTTTTATTTTTACTTTTATTTCTTGTTAATACCTTGGCCAGGCATGTTATCTTTCTGAAACTCTCTTCTTAACTCATTGCAATATAGTCACTGGAGGACAGGATTGCTGTACAGATAAAGTGAGATAACATAGACATCCTGGTAAAAAAGAACACACAATTTTAAAAATTTTATTTCATTACACACTCCACTAAAATGACAGTAGATGGAAAGGAAAATATAAATTCCCAAGGTCAAAAATGGGAAGAGAGAATAGAGAGAAGATACCAGATACAAGACTCATCAACAAAAGTTTTGAATTTGGAAAGCTGAGATATGGGTAGAAACTGCTTTATTAGATTTAAGAAAGCTGAACATTAAGTATCTCAGAAGCAAAACTAATAAGAAGCAAGCTGAGTTGTCCTCCCAAAACTTCAGAAAGATTTTAGAATTGATGGCAGATAATACATTTCAAGGTGAGGATATTAGATGATGCTAAACCCAGAAAAATTTGTACATGAGGCATTTAAACTGCCAGATCCCACATACCAGCCAGGAGAGCCACCATTTTCTATTGTTTCTCTATGCCAACAGATGGGAGAGTCAGTTTTTCAAAAAAAAATTTTGACTTGGTGCGGTGGCTCACGCCTGTAATCCCAGCCCTTTGGGAGGCCTAGGTTGGCGGATCACCTGAGGTCAGGAGTTCGAGACCAGCCAGGGTAACATGGTCAAACCCTGTCTCTGATAAAAATATATTAAAAAAAAAAACAAAAAAAAACAGGCATGGTGTTGGGCACCAGTAATCTCAGCCACTTGGGAGGCTGAGGAAGAATTGCTTGATCCTGGGAGATGGAATTTGCAGTGAGTTGAGATCATGCCATTGCACCCCAACCTAGGCAACAAGAGCGAAATTCCATCTCAAAAAATAATAATAATAATCAAAATGAAAATAAAATAATAATTTCAACTTTTATTTTAGATTCAAAGGGTACATGTGCAGGTTTGTTATACGTGTATGTTGTATGCTACTGAGGTTTGGGATAAAGATGGTCCCATCGCCCAGGTAGTGAGCATAGTATCTAATAAGTTGTTTCTCAGCCCATGCCCCGCTTCTTTCTTCCTGTCCCCAGTGTCCGTTGCTGCCATTTTTAATGGTCATATGTAGTCAATGTTTAGCTTCCACTTACGAGTGAGAACATGTGATACTTGGTTTTCTGTTCCCACATTAATTCACTTAGAATCATGGCCTCCAGCTGCATCCTTGTTGCTGCAAAGGACATGAGTTTGTCCTTTTTATGGCTGTGTAGTATTCCATGTTGAATATGTACCACATTTTCTGTATGCAATCCAATGTGATAGGTAATCTTTATATGTGTTGATGCAATAGTCATTGAGCTTAAGGATACTAGTCAGACAATATGGGTATTTAGATTTACTGAATACAAACAGGCTTAAGTAAATTTCGAATTCTGAATGGTTATCACCTCTCAGCTGCTTCCCCTAATTCATCAAGATGCTGATAATAGTCAGGCTTATAAGTTTTGTAAAAAGTGATTCATCTAAAAGAAATAAACCTTTCTATATTGATAGATAAGACAAGGTCATGTACTTACCTTATCTCCAGTTCAACAAACACATCTTTCTAGTGTCTCACTTTTAAAATGAGCAGTCAAAATGATCAGGTATTAAAAAAACAACTCTAACATGAATGACTAAGACCAAAACAAATAAAAAGACTGAAACGATTTAGAGAAATAGAGATCACACACATGTGTAGGGAAAAAAACTGCAAAAGGTGTAATTATATCATCAGAGAGAGAAAATATTTTATTCATAAAACAAGGAGAGAATGCTATTATAAAAAGTAATATTCAGAGACCAAAAAAGGATCATAGGGACATTAAAAATATGACAGTAGAAATTTAAAAATTCAACATAATGACTGAAGCACAAGTGCACAGTAATTCTAGAGATATGCTTCTCAAATTGCATTGTGCATAGAATCACTTGGAGAATTTGATTAAAGGCACATTTCTGGAGTGGGACCTGAAACTGTACATTGCCAACAAGTTTGCAGATGATGCTAATGTTGCCAGTCTCAGGCACTCTGAGAAGAAAGGCTCGATAGAGTATCAAGTAAACAAAATAGATAACAAATAAGAGAGAAAATAAGAAAATAAGGTATAAATTTTGGGGATTTTATACCTGTCCAAGAGCACATCCAGAAAGAGAAAGAAAGGGTGAATTGGAGAGGAAAATAAAATTTTAAAGACTGAGGAAAATTTTCCAGAATATGAGTTTCCAAATGAAAAAGCCACTAACTGTCTGGCACAGTAAGTAAAAAGTTTTCTACACCAAGGCATGTAATAAAAAAAATTCAGAGTACTATGTAGAGAAAAAGGAAGATCGTAAAAAGTTCCAAAATTCAATCAGTCACACACACCTCAAACACACACACACAAACACACAAATGTGCACAGACACACACACACATACCTTACAGGAAACTTTTTAAAAAATCAAACAGCAGGTAGCAGATATTGCAGCTGTTTTTTTCAAATCTGTCACTGAAAACCACTGTATCTAGCCTGATTCACAATCCAGTATGACAGAATAATAATTATGTCTTTATATATGCATGGCATTCAAGTATTATGGAGTAAAGAATTTAAAGAAGTTTCATGTATTTTTTTTCTCAGATGGATATTTGTCACCCAAAGCATAAACTTCCCAGAATCCAGGAAGCAGGAGATATGACAAAAATGAGAGACAAATGGCATTTCTAGATGGTAATTATGATGGGGTCAAGATTGACAGTTATTTAACAGGCCTAGAAATTAGCCAATACAGATTGAGGCAGGGAACACACAGGTTCAGGAAAAATGTTTCTGAGAATGAAAAGGGCCACTGAGTTACAGGAGCCGCAGAGAGAGTCTCAGGCCAGGCCACCAGGAGCTCCGCAAATGAATGAGAAACCCTAATTGACTTACCAGGGTTGAAGTATTTCCTGTTTGAAGGACAGAAGAGCGATAGCTACTGGTAATGTAATTGCCAGTGGGTTCTTTCTGCGCACTGCACAGACAAGATGCATTGACACCATGGCATTGTAGTAGAGAGTTTAATTGACACGAGACTGGCCACACAGGAGAATCAGGCATTTTACTCAAATCAGTCTTCCCAAAGTCTTTGAGCTCAGGGTTTTTATGTACAATTTCATGGGTAGGAGGCTAGGCAGTGAATGCTGCTGATTGGTTGGAAATGAAATCATAGGGGCATGGAAAAAAATCCTTATGTGCTGAGTCTGCCTCTGCGTAAGGCCACAGGACCAGTTGAGTCATGAATCATGGGCCTGAGTTGGGTCAGTCTGAAAAATATTTAAAAAAAAAACTTGGCTGTTACAATAGTGATGTTATCAATAGAAGCAATTAAGGAAGTCATAAATCTTGTGACCTTTGGCGACATGACTCCTGAGCAGTAAGAGATTATAGAAACTACAGAAACATTTTAGCAGAGTTTGGGTCCCTTCCATGATCTCATTCTTGTGGTCTTTTCTTAATCTTACAAAGGTGGTTTTCAGTCCCTGAGCAAGGAGGGAGTTAGTTTTAGGGGGAGACTATTATCATTTTTGCTTTCAAGTTAAACTATAATCTAAATCCTTCACAAAGTTAGATTGGCCTATGCCAAGAATGGGCAAGGAAAGCTTGGAAGTCAGAAGCAAGATAAGATGTCAGATTTCACTAATTGTCATAGTTTTCCAAGGCAATATTAATCAGGTTTCTACATAACTCATGGTTACTATTACACAAGAATGGATATTTCAAAAACCAGAATGAGGAAATGTGAATGGAGGACTTTTTAATATTCAAAAGATCCCAGAGAAACTATGAGACCTGCCCTATCCCTATAGAGTGGGTTTCAATGACCAGTGGGAGAAAATAAAGTTAATTTCTACATCCTACAACTCCCACTATTTAATGTAAAGAGTACAGAATAATTTTCATGGGCTAAAAAGACTTTTGCAAGGACCTTGATACATTTTGGGGTTGCTGGACAGAAGCTAGAAAAATACGTCTGGGTCATTGGGAGGAAATGAAGTAGGCATTCTATTTGATGCCAGATTTTGGAGAAACTGCTGCCATACTTCATAAAAGGGCTGTATCCCTTTTACCATCTTTACTTTTGAAAAGTTTTGAAATAAAGGGAACAGAATTGAAATAAGGCTACATCATGATAATCTCAAAAGGACTCTCCATCATCACCACTCACCCCTCACTCCTGAAACAACTAATACAAGTTTGAAACAAAACAAAACAAAACAAAACACTTTTTAATACATTGTGTAGCCAACTTGGAAATTTATTACCCCAAGAGGAGCTCCAATTTTAAAGTAGCAGTTAGAGATTTCTGTTGTTTGGGGTTTTGTTTTGTTTTTTTCCTTTATCTAGCCATAAGAGGTGATACAGGTAAGTAGAATATTCTGGGGACCAAAAAGTTGATGTCATGATTATAATGATCCTTCCATATATACTTCTCTTGATACCATTTCCTGCATTATTAGATAAGAGATCCAAATAGGGCTGTATGATTGGTGTCCATATTAACACACATAATGAAGCAGAACTTTCATAGAAGATACAGAGGACTTTAAATTATTTGAACAGCCACATATTCCCTTACTTATTCAACAGAAATATTGGGTATTTACTATGTGTCAAGCACCCTGCTAACCACTAGTAAAAATATAAAGTTTATATAAGCTTGGGATTTTGTTAAGACTAGCAATGTTGACATAAATTGAAATATAGAGAAATATAAAAGACATATACTTGAAAACCAACTAGTGGATGAAATAAAATGATAAATGACACATAGTTACATAAATACTATACTTAAATATTTATATTATACATACAACTTCCCTTTCATTCTCACCAGAGTCAATCAGTAGATCTGAAGAAAATCCTACAGGGAGACCTAGCCTTCTCTGCCTTGAGGACACGTAGATCTTTCTCCAGAAAAAGATGATCTCACATCTGCAATTGCGACCCTCTTCTGATGCCTCTTGGAAGTGCAGACATTCAACAATTACAATGCGGATTACGTAAACCTAAATGAAACCTTTTGAAAAACTTCTAAAATATATTTCCAGGAGACAATTAAGGGAAAGACATAATAATCTCTTCAGCCCTGCCTACAGCCAGAAAGATTTCCTTGAGTTTCTTTATAGCCCTTTCTTATGATGTTCATGGCGCTTCTCTTCTCTACATCTGAAGCGTTCTTTAATGTTTGCTCTTGTCTATTTCTGTTGCTTCAATGCCATTTCAAACTACCCCTTCATGTGAATTACCACAATAGCCTCTTATTAGCCTCCAACTACTAGTCCCCTCATACTGCTTTCATTAAGTCAAGTGAATAGTCTAAACATTAGAAAAAATATCAAAAATGATAAGATAATTTCTGATCGTATCATTCCACTACTGAAATTGACTGGTCTATTTAATTAAACCTATCTTCTCAGGTGGTCTTCAAAGCTCTAGGATTAAGATATCAGCTCTATCTAATTCCCTACTACTTCGATAACAATATTCTCTGTTGCAACTACTAACAACTCAGTGTTTATTGAACATACTGAACTCTCCTTACCATTAATAGCCTTCTCTCCAATTAGAATTTCTTTAATCCTACTGTGACAGATTGTATTTCCCAAAGATGGCCTCAACATCCTATATGCTTTTCTGCAATGTGTTCTTGCAACTCCTCCACCGAGCAGTGGAGTCTATTTCATCACATCCTAGAACATAGACAATTTTTAACAGCTTTGACAAATATAATATGACAAAAATGATTCTGTGCCAATTTCACGCATAGGATGTAATTGTCCCAGCAACATCTGCTTTCTGCCTTTTGGTACCCAGCTTCCACGTAAGAAGCATAGAAATGTAATTACCCTGGGATTGTCATGTTGTGAAAAGGTGCTAGAAGATGCAGAGTTATGTGATGGGAGGTTGGGGTGGGGGAAGAGAAAGAGAGAGAGAAAGAGAGAGAGAGAGAGAGAGAGATAGAGAGAGAGAGAGAGAGACCAAGGATAACCAAAGCACCAGACATATGAGTGAAGAAGTGAAGAAATCCTCTTAGAAATGGATCCTCCTGACCCTGCTGATGCCCCGTTGGATGGAGCAGAGACAATCACACAGTTGAGCCCTTTTTGAACTCCTGACCCATAAGATGACAGGAAACATAAGATGGCTGATTGAAACTACTAAGTTTTAGGGTAGTTTGCTGTGCAGTAATAGATAATTTTTAAAAATGCATTCAACTTTACTTTTCACCAAACGTGCTTTCACCAAAGGCATCAGTAACAACCTAAACTAGAAGTCAGATATCTTTCTGTTCCCCACTCACTAAACTTCTTTGCAGTCTCTTTCACCCTTCACATTCCTGTTTGTAAATATTATCCTGGAGCTGTTGGTACCTCTGGTCTATCAGTTTTCATAATCTGTTGCTGAGTCCCACCAACTCCTCAACCTCTCAAGGTTTATCCTCAGAATTATCTTTTGATGATCCCCAATCTTGTCTTCATGCAACCATGGCAAAAGCCACATGAGATAGATCCATAAGATGATGCAGTCAGAAAATATATTTCCACACTCAAAATCAGAAAGCTGCTTCTTCATTCCTATTTTTGAAATGGATCTAGCACCTTTTCACAACATGACAATCCCAGGGTAATTACATTTCTATGCTTCTTACATGGAAGCTGGGTACCAAAAGGTAGAAAGCAGATGTTGCTGGGACAATTACATCCTATGCGTGAAATTGGCACAGAATCATTTTTGTCATATTATATTTGTCAAAGCTGTTAAAAATTGTCTATGTTCTAGGATGTGATGAAATAGACTCCACTGCTCGGTGGAGGAGTTGCAAGAACACATTGCAGAAAAGCATATAGGATGTTGAGGCCATCTTTGGGAAATACAATCTGTCACAGTAGGATTAAAGAAATTCTAATTGGAGAGAAGGCTATTAATGGTAAGGAGAGTTCAGTATGTTCAATAAACACTGAGTTGTTAGTAGTTGCAACAGAGAATATTGTTATCGAAGTAGTAGGGAATTAGATAGAGCTGATATCTTAATCCTTGAATACTAACATTTGTCTTGAACCAATTTTCTCATTGGCATTCTTGTTTTTAATAAAACAGGTAATTTAAGTAACAAGTATAAATATTTTCTCTCATTCCACTCAACCAAACTATTTTCATTTTAAATGAAAAAGTATAATCCATAAATATATATATTGTCCCTCTAGATTTGATCCTGGTGCAAAAAAGAAAAGGAAAGAAAAAAGTTACATACCATTTCTGTGTATCCTGATGTCCATTTTTAAATTTTAATAGATTATTGATATGATTTTGTTATCAGATTTTATCTCTAATCATACATTAACTTTTTATTTCATATTATATTTAAAACAGTCTCCATTAATTTTTTTTTCTTTTTACTTTCTGTAGGAATAATAGGTGTTCTGTTTTGTGCCTCTATATGTTCTCTCTCAACTGTTATAGCGTTTATTAGTGGGTGATTACAGCAGGCACTCTGGAGGCAAAATTGCCTGGTCTCGAATCTTTTCTTTACCCTTCAGTTGTTTGATGGCTTTGAACAAATTGTTTAATCTTTTGCTTATAGATCATAAACTCATAGACTACAGAAAATCAAGTTTATTCATCCGATGAAAAATTGACATTCCATAAATATCTGTGAAATGAATGACTTTATTAACGCTTTAAAACCCTGCTTTAATGCCATTGCATTCATAAAACTTTCCCTCTTATCTCTAAAAACTACTCCTTTTATTTTCAAAAACTCATGGGACTTTGTTAATCTCTCTTGTATAATTATATTGTATCATATATTACAATTACATACATCTCTCTTATTCACATAATATAGTGAAAGCTCTTTGAGAACAGAAACTATGACATCCTTTCATTCTTCACAGAATCTAGCATAGGGCCTTACATTAATTGCTGAGTGAATATTTATCACATAAATTAATGAATTTTTGATTCATGCCTTTTTAAAAATTATTTCTTATTTTTAAAAATAGAGAGGAGGTCTTGTTATGTTGCCCAGGCTTGTTTCAAACTCCTGGACTGAAGCAATCTGCCCACCTCAGCCTCCCAAAGTGTTGGGATTACAAGTGTGAGCCACCACGCCCAGCCCCATTTTCTTTATGTGAAATAATTGGTTCCAATCAACATATTCCAAGTTATTTATAGTTTTTATCTCAATATATTTATATTCTTCATAAAGCACTTTTTAAAAGTTATTTTATTGGTTACTTTTATTTTGTTTCCTTTTTATTTTATATTATCTTTATTCAGTATAGTATATTAACTATTTGAAATAAGAGCTATTTTTCTTACACATGTGCCTGCATTTAATATGAAATAATATCATCTCTCACTAGACCATGACTAATGAATAAAATCAATTTAATTCAAGGAAATAGCATAGATTGATTATACTTCTATAGTGCTAAATTCATATAGACTCCTAAGTAAATACCAAGTGTATACATGCATCCTTTAAGAATTTAATTAATTATATTAAACATAACATTCTATGTTTTTATCTTAGCTTTGTTTTTAGAGGCAAATTTTTCTTCTAGTCAGAGTCCTACTTCTGCTACTTCACTCTTTGCTTGGATGCAGTTGCAGACTGTTGTCTGCAGCTGTTGCTCATTAACTAAAATCTGCAGTAGAACTTTTTCCTTTTTCCCAAGTGGTGGTGTTTTGATCATAGCATTCCCTAGAGCACAAAATGAATGCATATGTATGGACCATATAATGAATGGCCTTCTTGGTAATAAATAAAAAATTTAAGAGCTGTTTACATTTTTATAAATCCAGAAACAAACTAATTTTTGAAAAAAAAATGCACATTAATGTATTCATTTGCTCAGAATGCATCAATTTACCAAGTATATGTTAAGCGTATATTGAACTAGTGTAAGGTATAGAAGAATACATCAAATATAGTGATAAACTATTTTAATTCTTATAAGACACACATTTACTTTCATAAGCTCACAAAGTAACCAACATGGTCCATCTGTTTATTTATCTGTCAATCTATCTGGCTAGCTAGCTGATAACTAGGAATAAAACCAAACCAAACCAGGACTCAGCCTTTTTTTGCTGTACTCTATTCATGACCCAGTCTTTCCTCTCTGTATCTTCATCTCTAGCAGAGACAGGTTTATTTTCCTTAGTAGTCTCATTACTGCTTGTCATGTTGCTGAATCAGTAAAACCACATTAAAAGTTGTTTCATAACCTAAGAATCTTGAACAGGCTGGTCTGTTAGCCTGATCTGTCCTTTGCTGAACTTTCTTCTCTTTCAAGAAAGGCATTTAACAGAATTCCAGGCAAAAGTCCTACCAACATTCTTATCAATGATCTTATGCAATAGCAGGGAAACAATTAATGTAGCAGTCTATTTCATTCAGTTCTTAATTATCACTGCAGCCATGGTGATGATCCTTGGTCAAGTCCTCAAAACAAAACTATTGGAATGTTCACATAGTTACTATGTAGTGATGTTATTCTATATGTGTAGAAACAGTGGGTCAAGATGAAGGAGGTTGTCAGCACATTGAGAACAAACATGAAGATTCATAATACACACCTGTTTTGGGGTCTGCACTATGGCTGGTCATGTGGTAGCTGTGTGACCAGCTACCTTTAAAAGGTTTTACTGGGCAAGGGCATCTCTCACTTCTTCCTGCAATTCAAAGCTGAGGAGAAAGATGTGTCTGTGCAATCCATGCAGAGGAAGGACAAGAAAGCCACTATATGATTTGTCTATGTATAGCTTTTTCCTGCTGTTCTTGCCGTGTACTCTTTGCTGTAATAAATCTTAGCCATGAGTATAATTTTGTGTTGAGTTATATGAGTCCTTTCAGAAATTCACCAAAGTAGTAGGTGAAACTGCCAAGGCAGCAATAGTTGTTTTTTACACATGTATTTTTTTAACGTTCCATTTTAATTCCATGTGACTGGACATTTTTAATATTTTAAGATATTAAAAAACTAAGCATATTGAAGATCTATATCTTTTTACCCCAATAGTTGGATGCAATTTTATAATAATTGCTACCATTTTCATTTAAAAAAAATTTTTACTCTTTTTCTAAATCAGTCTCTCTTAGCCTATAACAACATTTATTTGTAATGAATAAAGGTACTTTGATATAAAGTAACTTTTATCAAAGGTGCTTTAAGCCTACTGATACCTATGGGAAAATGATTCATTAAAATATTAATGGACTAATGTAATACTTTGTAATTTTTCCTGAGGTGTAATAGGAACAGTATGGACTTAGAGTCACTTTCTCAACACAGAGTTAAACCCTATCTCTGTCTCTTTCAAGCCGTGTCGTTTTGACAAGTGCTGTAGGAAAAACATCACCTACCTCATAAAGTTGTTTTGAAGATTAAAGTAGACCATGTATAAAATATACTGCTCAAAGTACACCATACATGTAGATCACTAAGATAAAATTCTCCAAAACATTCATAAATTTAGAAAGTCTAAATAACTTGTTTTCTAATGCTATCGTAGATTTTAAAATTTTAACTTTTTTTCCTGTTTTCTGCTAGTATATAAAAATACAGTTGGTTTTGGCATATTAACCTTATCTGTAGTGACTATGTTTAGTCCATTTATTAGGCCTAGTAGCTGTTTTTAGATAGTTTAAGATTTTTTTACATAAACAGACTTCTAGTATGATGTTGAATAGAAGTGGTGATAATGGTAATCATTGATTTGTTTCTGATCTCATTGGGAAAGAGTTCAATAATTTGCCATTAAGTACACAGTCAACTGCAGGTTTTTCATAGGTTCCCTTTATCAGATTGAAGAAATTCCCCTCCAATCTTACTCTACGCAAAATTCTTCTTAGGTATCAGTATTGAATTTTGTCAATTGCTTTTTATGCATCTATTAGGATAATCATATGGCTTATCTTTTCTATTCTATTAATATGATGAATTATACTGATTGATTTTTGAGAGTTAAAACAGCTTTTTGTTCTTTAGATAAAGCCTCCTGGGAATGATGTATTATCCTTTTCATATATTACTGCTGAAAATTTACACGAGACGGATTTTCTTTTGGATAAAGCTATTTCACAAGTATATGTATTTGCTGCAGATTATATGTTAATTTCAAGCTTGAGATAACTCATTGTCCCTCATGTAACCTCTTTTTTTTTTTTTTTTTCTTCTTAAATCCCACTGACATTTTGTCTACAACATGGATTTGTTTCTGTCAGGTAACTTAAGAACTTCCATATATAACTTTCTACATGCATAGAAAACTTCACTTTGAAATTGTTTGTGTTGACATCAGGGAATTAAATTCATTTCAGGTGCTATTGTAGGCCAAATTACAGGTTTTGAGTTTATAAAGATACCTCTGACTGAGTAATGCCACCTGATAATGTGGAGCTTTAAGAGCGTTGTTTGACTTTTTAATTGAGGTTATGGCTTATTTGTGTGCTTTACATTTTTTATTAATAATACAAATTATTTATTGTCATCTGATGATATAAGTAAACATACATTTCACTTACACATTTTAATCAACTTACATGATGAGCCAAATATCGTTTGGCTAATAAAAAAAAACCTAACCAAAACATAAATTTTCACTAAAGATATAAGATTATATTCTGGTTATTCAAAAAGAAATGTTTCTTTGGATTCATTATTAACCAAAATTGGATAGGCTATTCATCAAGCATGTATTGAACGTATATTATATATAACACAATGGAATGAGACCTCTAAGGAAATAAACAATGGAAAAAAATTAAAGCACACCTTAAGGTGTTACGTTTTGTTTTGCTTTTAATTAATTATTTTTCCAGAGCAGTTTTAGGTTTACAATAAAATCAAGCAGAAGGCACAGGATTTTCCATACAACCTTGGTACCTATGCATGCTTAGCCTTTCCCATTATCAATATCCCCCACCAGAGTGGTCCATTTGTTATAATCCATGAATCAACATTGAAACATTATATCCCCCAGACTCCATAGTTCACATTAGGGTTGACTCTTGATGTTGTGCATTCTGTGAGTTGGGACAAATGGTGGACATGTAGCCACCATTCTAGTTCCATACAGAATAGTTCACTCTCCTAACAGTGTTTTTAACACACCCATCTCAAAGTATAACTTCCAAATGGGTAAAAGCATGACTCATGAATATATAAAATGTACACATGTCAAAAATTGTATTCTAGTTCTTAATTAACAAAGGAACAAGTAAGTTTTTTTTGTTTTTGTTTTGTTTTGTTATGAGACAGTCTCACTCTGTTGCCCAGGCTGGAGTGCAATGGTGTGATCTCCGCTCACTGCAACCTCTGCCTCCTGGCTTCAAGAGATTCTCCTGCCTCAGCCTCTCCAGTAGCTGGGATTACAGGTGCACACCACCATGCCTGGCTAATTTTTGTATTTTTAGTAGAGATGGGGTTTCACCATGTTGGCCAGGCTGGTCTTGAACTCCTGACCTCATGATCCGCCCGTCTCGGCCTCCCAAGGTGCTGGGATTACAGGTGTGAGTCACCGCGCCGGGCCTAATAAGAAGTTTTAATTGATATAAAGAACATTTGAAAAGTAATTATTTGTAAGTAATATTATTTGAGATCACCAGGTTAGAGACAAAACTCATAGAAAGGGATATAAAATTTTGGAATTGTATATCGTACAAGAGAGAAATTAATTTCATCTTTCTAAAAAAGTCTACAAGTTAAAGTCTAATTTTTAAAAAATCAGTTTAAAAGTCTAACTTCCCTTTCTTAAGTCTTAGACCTTGGGTAAATAGTGAGGTAATCATGTACATTCCCATAAATGATGTTTTGCTTTCATGGGACACTGAAAAAATGTGCTATTCACATTTTTTCTTATTTTCAAGGTTTAGATAATTTTTCTAACATAGATAAAAGCAATGTATACATATTATAGTTACATAGTACTTTACTCTGAAAAGCATTTAAAGTGAAGTTTTATGAAATGTTCAGAAAAGGAAAATACATTTCAACTTGGCCTTCAGGGATTCTCAGCTAGGAATTGGCAGAGATGGAAAGTGGATGGAGAAGAGATCAGAAAAAAAGGAGAGAGCTGATTTGAAGGCACAAAAGCCAGAAAGCATAGTTGTATTTTGCAATAGAAAGGACTCCAGTTTGCTTACATTGCTGGATGCATGGAAGAGAACAGCAGGCTATAAAGGCCGAGAAGATGGTTTGAGTCTGGATTGTGCCAGGCTAAAGGATTTTGACTTTTTTTGTTAGGCAATAGGGATCCCTAAAGCTTTTAGAGTCTGGATAAGGAAGATAGATCTGCTCAATAAGAAGGATGAACTAACAATAGAGTCTTTTCTAGGATGCTACTGAAGGAATTGAGAGACAGAATATACAAATGAGTGAAAGCCAGACCATATAGAAAAATAGAACCCTAACCCACAATTTGCAGCTACCAGCACAGGATGCCAGCTTGCTACACATCTGACTTGTAGGAAGTCAGAATGTTATCTCTAATAATAAATCCAGGAAGCCAAACAATAACTCCTATTACAATTGACCCCAAATGACCAGGCCTTGATTAATAACTGACAACTTTAATAATTTTTGTCCCTGCTTCCAACTTAGGACCAACTAGAGAAAGCCAGTTATACACCTCTAACCAATTCCATCGATGCTTCACTTCTAGTTAGCCACCCCACAACAACAGCCTCCAATCAGGGAATAATAGTTGAAGCCTTTCCTCTTCTCAACTATGAAGCTTCCCTACTTTTCTGCTGCACTTTGAGTCTGCCAAAATGCAAGCAATGATGGCTGATTCCTTTGCAATTAAAAACTCTGAATAAATAAACTTTGCTTGTTCTCATTCAGATGGTCTTTGTTTACTTCCATAAAATACACTACCATTAAAACTAAGGATTCTTTTTTAACTAACAGCTTTATCAAGACACATGAATCTGTCCAGTCAATATAAATTGGATCTCCTAGTGTGCCAGGCAGTGTCAGGCAGTAAAAATGTAAGCATATACACTCTTGCCCTCGGAAAGCCTTTACACTGTGTAGGATAGAAACAAGTAAATATACATCATACACTGTCAAATACAAAACTGAACCCAAGTTAAAATTAACACAGGCTGATTATTCATAAATGTGCAGGAAGAGAACCCATCTGTCATCACTTTCATTTCAGCAGAGGTACAAGGATGTTAGAAATGAGAGTAAATTTTACCTGGTAAAAAAGAAAAAAATGCTGAAAGCGTCTCTAATTGGTGAGCATTACATTAAAGTGGGATGTGGAAGCAGAGACTTATTCAGGTATATTTGAGATTAGTTGGTGTGCTGGAACTAGGTGAGCCGGCATTTTCAGAATATTTCAAAACAGGAAGTCTTATTCAATGTTAGAGACTGAAGATTTTCTGTGGCTGGCCATTTCCAGGAACAAGTCTAGCTGACGGGGTGCTTTTGTGTGGTGTGTCTGTCATAATGGTCCTTAATGGAGGCAGAGGAGCTGGTATGGCAGGAAGTTTCTCACCACAGTATACTAAGTAATGAGTTTCTGTTAGTTTTATGTAGAGAGATCTGAATTTACAGATGAGATAATGTTGGTACTGCTGGATTGGCATTACAAAAATATGAAACTGCAAAAGTGGCTGCCCCCAAGATATCTGAAGACCAATTTATTTAAATTAAAAACAATTTATGGGCTTTTATGTGTGTGTGTGTGTATGTGTGTGTGTATATATATATGTGAAATTTTCAAGAACACAGCCTACACATAAAGCAGTACTGCAGACTGTCAGTCTATAAGCTAAAATTTTGTTTATTTATATTGGCTAGTGCTAAAAAATGGAATTTTCATGCTGTTAACAGTGACCTGTTTCCCATAGTCACTACTGTTGACACATCCTTATACCAGTGTATTTCACATATCCACATTAACTAAAAAGGCTTTGGGCTTGCAAGTGTTGAAGAAATATAATTAAAAACAAAATATTCTCTCAACCCAGAAATTATCCACAAAGACAGTAGAGAAAGAGAACACTTTTATTATTGAAAAAGCATTACACCATAATATGATGCACATCACAGGAAATCCATTAAGAGATTGCAAAGACAGAAAGGAATCTCTACCCCTTATATAATCAAGTAACCCATTACATACATTTTTCAAGATGAACAATAACTAGTTGTCAAGTAAGAGGACTGACAGCACCTTTTGTCACACAGTTCATCCTAACTTTACCTTGTAATTGGGGTGACCATCTGTGTTAGCATATTGGCTATATCGAGAGAGACAAACAAACAATCAAAACCATATACCTTTATGATAGAACATAGCTTTAGCTTTGCAAATTGGAGCAAGGTGCCCACAAAAGTTAGATTATTATCCTTCCACAGAAACTGGGAGATAGGAGCACTGTCTTCCTTTATGTTAACATTTATATTAGTCTGTTCTCATGCTGTTATGGAGAAATACCTGATGCTGGGTAATTTATAAAAAAAGGAGGTTTAATTGGCTCACAGTTCTGCATTGCTGAGGAGGCCTCAGGAAAGATACAATCATGGTGGAAGGCAAAGGAGAAGCAGGCACCTTCTTCACAGGGCAGCAGGATGGAGTGAGTGCAAGCAGGGGAAATGCCAGATGCTATAAAACCATCAGATCTCCTGAGACTCACTCATTATCATGAGAACAGCATGGCGGAAAACCACCCCCATGAGCCAATTACCTCCACCTGGTCCCGCCCTTGATAGGTGGGGATTATGGTGATTACAATTCAAGGTGAAATTTGGGTGGGGACACAGAGCCAAACCATATCAGCGTTTCAAAAAGATGGCTTCCAAGCTCTGAAAGGTATTCCTGAGTCATAAAGTTGACAAAAGACCTATCTAGTTTTCAAAATAATTTCTGTACATTTCGAAGAGAGGAGAATGTACTTACAATGATAAGGTTTCTAAAGTAAATGCTCTAATAAAAATGAGGATGAAGAAGTCCCTTTCTTTATCTCAATGGGGGAATTAAGTCTCTTATTTTTAATTTTTATTTATTCAAAAGTACCCCAACAAATTCACCTGAATTGCCCCCTCCAAAATGAAGTAGCTTAAGATGACATTTTAAAAATAATTCTCTTTAACAATGACAGTTGCTGGCATTTGTGTAGTGATTCTATGAACCAGTTTTAGGGAATTAAGAAACTTCCTAAATGCAGATTTTAGGGCCTTTGGTCATAGAAACCAATTAAAAAGACCTGGGATTCAGTTCAAATAGTTTCCTTCTTATCAAATTCTTTCAAGGCCATTTTGAGTCTTGTTATCCCTTGCCACTCCTTAAGAAATACCACCTATGACTACACAACCTCAGTGAAATAATAACCTCACCTAATTGCTTTTGAAATTTGCCTAATGGCTTTTGGGTCACCCTTAGGCTACTTGTTTATCCCAAACAATTAATAATTTCTAATTATGCCTGTAGTCACCTTTTTTATTTTGGCAAATGAAGTATTCCCTCTTCCATAACTGAGTGATTATCATGGCGTCAGTAATTCAGAGCATCCCCATACTGGACTCATATAAATTGCACCACAATGATGTAGCTTAAATATATTTTGAATAAGACATTAATTTTTTAAATATCTCATCACCATTATATTTAATTTATAAGCCAAAAAGAAGACTAAAACTAATGAAAATTGACAGTTAAATTTGAAATATATCTGTGACCTACTGCTATGTTCAATACATAAGCAAGTCCCAGACTTTTTTTAGTAATCAATCTTTCAGTTAATTTCCTCTTTATAGCACTACACTAGACCCCTAAGGCATGGCTAACTATCTTCAACTTAAGCGCTTCAGGCAATAAGTAGCAAAATTACTAACACAATTATGATGATTAAAGTGTTCATTTAAAAATGGTGACACCTACTTATAAGCAGCATAAGTGACAATAACTTTTTTAGTTATTTAAATTGTACAGCTGTAGCTTTAGAATTAACATAACCTGCATTGAGTAATTTGTTAAAATATTTTAGTAAGATAATAAGCTAAATTAACATAAATATTTAAGGTAAAGAGAATGCTTTAAGTCATTCTCTCAGAATAAAAGTAATTATATTTCCTTTAGAAACATGTTTTATTCACATGTTAATGTATTATTAATTCTTGGAGAAAGGCTTTCAATTATTCACTTTTTGTTTTTATTTGTTGTGATGATTTTTTACAGAACTTAGTGGAATAGAGAAATGTTTCTGCAAAGCATGTCTGGTCTATAGAAAAATAACAATTAGTATTGATTTTTATTGGGACGAACACCTGTAGTTTAAGGAAAACATGATATAATTCCTGTAGGTTATAATTCTATTTGGTTAGCTTAGCTCTTTCTTCAGTTTTCTATTCCTAGTGCCAATCCCCTGCAGCCATTGTCCCCCCAGAATAATACAGAATAGGAAACATACTGTTCTACCTGATCCATACCTATCTCCTTCAAGCTCTTCAAACATTTTAACCAGGTAGTACATTGCTGCTTCCTTCCCCCACAAAAAGGCCCATAGCCAGATGCATTGGTGCATACCTGTAGCCCCAACCACTCCAGAGGGTGGCAGGAGGATTACTTGAGGCCAGAAGTAGTGCACTATGACCACATGTGTGAATAGCAACTGTACTCCACCCTGTGCAACATAGCAGGAACTTGTCAAAAAAAAAAAAAAAAAAAAAAAAGCCAACGCTTGACCTTTCTAGCCCCTTCTCCACTACTTTCTATCTGTCCTCATCTAGACAGTTCAATTCAATTCTCTGTTAACTAAATACCATTTTCTTTTCCTGCCACCTTGTCTTTGGTTGTGATTTTGTTGGTGTTTCTTCCTGGAAGGTTCTCACACATTCTTCATCTAGCTTCCTCTCTTGCTAAACAATACTAATACCTATATTTCAACACCTAGGCAAATACTACCTATTCCCAAATACCTTTGCCTCCATAGCCAGAAGTAATCATCTCTAAACTACTATTGCCGTGAGTTTATATCACCTTCTCACACATCCATGAAAAATATAATTGCTAAATGCCTATTATGTACTAGGAAACATTTAGGTACTAGGGACCACTGATGAACAAGGTCAGATTGCAACCTCATGGAAACATAAAGTCTCTGCTAGTAGTATTCATAGACTAATTTTATTAGAGTTATATGTGTTTTTCTCCCCTCCAAGTGCATTAACTTTCTGAAAGTGGGAATAGTGTCCTTTTCATCTTTGTATCCTTACCGTGCTTAGGACAGCATCTGGAAAGTAGTAGATGGATGAATGATAAATTGATCTCACTGTGTGGAGAAAACATGCTCCATTTTATTTGAGTAACTTTGGAAGCACGGGTGCCCCCTGATTTACTGGCTTATACTTTCCCAGCTATATGGTTACTTCTCTATCTTTAGCCTGAACTCAGCCTCTATTATTAGCAGTTATTGTAAAATAACTTGGAGATTTTAAAGAGTGCAAGTGGGACTTCAGAATGTTAAGGGGAAGCTTGCAATTCACTAGTTAAGAGGAGCAGCCAAAATAAGTTATCTGAAATACAAATGTGAACACTCCATTTCCATATTGACAACTATTTATAGAAAATATTTTTTAGGATAAAACCTAAGCCAATTAACATACCTTACCAGGACCTGCATAAAATAGACTCTGTAAGGTTGTTCAATTTCATTTCCCCCATTCCATTTGCCTGGCTAACTCCTGCTTGGCTTTAGTAGTTCTCTTTCCTGCCACAAAACACACTGAAGTTTTATTTTTTGGGAACCACCTTTCCCCTATTCTCAGCCTTGTGGTCTGTGAAATTACACTTGACTGGCTGAAGTTAACTCCTGGTACCTAGTCTCCTGTATTCATTAACAGACACTCCTTATTTCCTTCTACATTCCCCAGCTATAGGCAATATTAATGTGTTTTCTATCTCCATAAATTGTCTATTCTATACATTTTATATTAATGGAATCACACAACAGCGATTTTTGTGATAACATTCTTTCACTTGGTATAATGTTTTTAAGGTTGATCCATGTCATAGTGTGTGTCAGTACTTTATTCCTTCATACGGCTGAATAAAACACCATTGTATGGATAGATCATATTTTATTTATCCGTGGATATTTGAATTATGAATTCTTTTATTTATCCGTGGATATTTGAATTATGAATTCTACAATGAATAACCATGTACAAGTATTTATGCAGACATATGGTTTTGGTTATCTTGGATATGTACCTAGAAATGGAATTGCTGGTTATATGGTAAATCTGTTTAACTATTTAAGGCACTACCAAACTGTTTTCCAAAGTGGTTACAGCATTTTACATTCCACAAACAATGTGTGAGGATTCCAATATCTTCACTGACTTCTTGACAACAAGCTGCTATTATCCATCTTTTTCATAATAGTCATCCTAGTGGGTATAAACTGGTATCTAATTATGGTTTTGATTGGCATTTCTCTAATGACTAATGATGTTGAGCATCTTTTCTCCTGGTTATTAGCCATTTGTATAACTTTTTGGAGAAGCATCTATTCAAATATTTTGCTCATGTTTTTTAAAATAAGATAATTTTTAGAGCAGTTTTAGGTTTGCTTCAAAATTGGGTGGAAGGTACAGAGATATTTTACTTACTCCCTGACCCTACACACACATGGCTTCCCCCACTTTCAATATCCTCCACTTTGTGGTACATTTATTGCAACTTGAACCTACATCGACACATCATTATCCCCAGAGTCTATAGTTTACAGTAGGGTTCACACTTGGGGTTGTACATTCTATGGGTTTGGACAAATATATAATGATATGTATTCACCATTACAATATACAGGGTAATTTCAATAACCTAAAAGTTCTCTGTGGTCTGCCTATTTATCCCTCTTTACTCTACATCCTCGTCATCATTGATTGTTTTACTGTCGCCATAGTTTTGACTTTTCAAGAGATTTATATAGTTGGAATTACATAGTATATAGCCTTTTCAGATTGGTTTCTTTCACATAGTAAGTTATGTTTACTTAATTTTCCTCTATGTCTTTTCATGGCTCCATAGTTCATTTCTTTTTCACATTGAATAATGTTCCATTGTCTTCTCCCCTGACTTTTTTACTTTTCTCATTTCATTTACTTTTCTCTTTTCAATCTGGATGCCTTCTATTTCACTTTCTTGCCTAATTGTCCGGGCTGGAACCCCTAGTACAATGTTAAATAAAATAGGCAGAAGGACAGACAACCTTGTCTTATTCCTGTTCTTAGGTTCTCAGTTTGAAAGCATTTAGTTTTTCACTATTAAGTGTGATATTAGCTGTGAGTTTCTCTTAGATACCCTCTTTCAAGTTGAGGAAGTAGACTCTGTTTCTAGTTTTCTTAGTTTTTTTTTTTTTTTTTTAATCATGAGTAGGCATTGGATTTAGTCAAGTGCTTTTTCTGTATCTATTGAATAATCATGTGGTTTTACTATTTACTCTATTAACATGGTGGACTACATTAGTTAATTTTCCATTTTAAACCAATTCTTGTGATAAATCTCATTTGATTGTGGTCTGTAATCCTTTTTATGTGTTGGCTAGATTTGTTTGTTAGCATTTTTTAAAGAATTTTTGTGTCTATATTCATAATAGGTTATTGGTGTATAGTTTTATTTTCTTGTGATGCGTTTGACTTCAGGGTAATACTACCCTCATCAAATGAGTTAGGAAGTGTTCCTTTGTTTTCTGTGTTTTGGACGAGGTTATGAGGATTAGTATTAATGTTTTCTTAACTAATATAATTTACCAATTAAGTAAGCTAGCATTAGGCTTTCCTTAGTGGGAAGTTTCACAATTACAAATTCCATCTCATCAGTTATTACTGCTCTGTTCAGATTTCCTTGAGTTAGTTTTAGTAGTTTGTGTCTTTTCTGAAACTTGTGTATTTCATCTAAATTATCTAATTTGTTGACATATAGTTGGTCATAGTATTCCTTTTTAATTATTTTAATTTTCATAATGACTGCAGTGTTCCTTCTTTCAGTGCTAGTATTTTGAATTGCCTCTCCTTTTTTCTTTGTCAGTCTAGCTAAAGGATTGTAAATTTTGTTGACCAAGGAACCAAATTTTGATTTCATTAATTTTCTCCATAACCTTTTAATTGTCTATTTTATTAATTACCACTCAATATTTATTATTTCCTTCTTCTGCTTATGTTACATTTTTCTCTCTTTTTAACAATTTCTTAAGATGGAAGTTAGCTTTCATATATGACATATTATTTTTTAAGTTTAGGCGTTTGCAGATTTACATTTTTCACTAAGGACTATTTTAGCTGTACTCTATAAGTTTTGGTATGTTGGAGTTTTTATTTTTGTTTATCTAAAGGTATTTTCCTATTTCTCTAATTTGATTTCTTTGATCCATTTATTATTTGAGTGTTTTAAAATTTCCACATATATATACAATTTATTTTTGTCATTGATTTCTCATTTTATTCTATTGTGATCACAGAACATATTATTTTTTCAACTTTTAGATCCAAGGGGTACATGTGTGGGTTTGTTACTTGGGTATATTGCATGATGCTGAGGTTTGGAGTATGAATGATCCCCACATCGATGTACTGAGCATAGTACCCAATAGTTTGGTAAGCCTTGCCGACTCCTCTAGTAGGCTCTAGTATCTATTGTTGCCATCTTTATGTCCACAAGTACCTGAGTTTAGCTTCAACTTGTAAGTGAGAACATGCAGTATCTAGTTTTCTGTTCCTGCATTAATTCGCTTAAGATAGTGGCTTCCAGCTGCATCGGTGTTGCTGCAAAGGACATGATTTTGTTAATTTTTATGGCTGCATGGTATGCCATGGTGTTTACGTTCTACATGTTCATTATTGAATCCACCCTTGATGGCACCTAGGTTGATTCCTCATCTTTGCTATTGTGAATAGTCCTATGATAAACATACAAATGCATGTGTCTTTTTGGCAGACTGGTTTGTTTTCTTTTGGATATATAACCAGTAATGAGAAGGCTGAGTCAAACGGCTGTTCTAAGTTCTTTGAGAAATTTCCAAATTGCTTTCCACAGTGGCTGAATTAATTTACATTCCTACCAACAGTGTACAAATGTTCCCTTTTTTCTGTAGCCTTGCCAGAATCTGTTGTTTTGACTTTAATAATAGCCATTCTGACTGTTATGCAATAATATCTCATTATGGCTTTAATTGGCATTTCTCTGATGATTAGGGATAATAAGTGTTCTTTCATGTTTGTTGGTCATTTGTATGTCTTCTTTTGAGATGTGTCCGTTCATGTCTTTTGATCATTTTTTAAAGCGGTTATGTGTTTTTTTTTCTTATTGAATTTTTTAAGTTCCTTATAAATTCTGGATATTAGATCTTTTTTAGATGCATAGTTTGTGAATATTTTCTCCCATTCTGTAGGTTGTCTGTTTACTTTATTGATAGTTTTTTTTTTTTTTTTCCTGTGCAGAAGCTCTTTAGTTTAACTAAGTCCCACTTGTCAATTGTTTATTGTTGTTGCAATTGTATTTGAGGACTTGGTCATAAATTCTTTTCCAAGGTCCATGTCCTGAATGGTGTTTCCTAGGTTTTCTTCTAGAATTCTTATAGTTTGAAATCTTATATTTAAATCTTTAATCCATCTTGAGTTAATTTTTGTATGTGGTGAAAGGTAGGGGCCCAGTTTTGTTCTTCTACATGTGACTACTGAGCTATCCCAGCACCATTTATTGAATAAGGAATGCTTTCTCCATTGCTTATTTTTGTCAACTTTATTGAAGTCTAGGTGGCTGTAGGTATATGGCTTTATTTTCAGGCTTTCTGTTTTGTTCCACTGATCTATATGTCTGTTTTTACACGAGTACCATGCTGTTTTGGTTACTGTAGCCTTATAGCATAAAATTGGATAATGTGAGTCTTCTAGCTTTGTTATTTTTGCTTAGAATTATTTTGGCTGTTCAGGTTCTTTTTTGGCTCCATAAAAATTTTAGAATAGTTTTTTTTTCAATTCTGTGAAAAATGCCATTGGTAGATTGATAGGAATAGTGTTGAATCTGTAGATTGCTTTGGGCAGTATGACCAATTTAATGACACTGATTCTTCCAATTGATAAGCATGGAGTGTTTGTCCATGTGTTTGTGTCTTCTGTGGTTTATTTTAGCAGTGTTTTGTAGTTCTGCTTGTAGAGATCTTTTACCCTTTTGGCAGAGAACATACTTTGTATGATGTCAATACTTTTAAATTTATTAAGATTTATTTTATAGGGTGACAATAATCTATGTGTTTTATATGCACTTGAGAAGCATGTGTATTTGCTGTTGTTAGGTGAAGTGTTTTGTAGCTATCTACCAGGTCTAGTTGGTTTATAGTATTATGCCAATCTTGTATTGTCTTCTTGACTGTCTTTTTAGTTGTTCTATCTATTACCGAAAATGGGGTAGTGAAGCTCCAGCTATAATGGTTGAATTAAATGTTTCTCTCTTAAATTCTGTCAGTTTTTGGGTTATGTGTTTTGATCTCTGTTGTTAGGTGAGTATAGGTTTATACTTACCATATCTTCTTAATGGTTTGGTCATTTTGTCATTATACAACATCTCTTCTTATCGCTGGTAACTTTTTTTATTGTTTTTTTCTTTTACAGTCTATTTTGTCTGGCACTATTATAGCCATTCTGGCTTTCTTATGCTTGTTTGCATGGTTTATTTTTTTTCCTTCCATTTTAATTTCAATCTAAAATATATTTAAAATCTAAATTATTTCTGGATTTTAAAGTATGTGTCCTATAGGCAGCATATAATTAAATGTTGTTTTTTAGCTTACCTGACAATCTATCCCTTTTCATTAATTTATCCACATTAGATTATTATTGATATATGTGAATTTATGCCTACTATTTTACCTTTTGTTTTCTATAAGTTTTATGTCTTTATTCATTCTTCACTTAATTGTTAAATTAAGTGAATATTTTCTAGTGTAACATTTTAATTTCTTTAATAATTTTCACTTTTTTGGTTATTTTTTTAGCCATTGCTCTAGGACTTGCTGTATACAATTTGATTTACCAGAATCTGCTTCATATTTGCACTCAATTAATTCTGGCAAGATATAGAAATGTTATTTGGGAGGCCGAGGTGGGCAGATCACGAGGTCAGAAGTTTGAGAGCAGCCTGGCCAACATGGTGAAACCCTGTCTCTACTAAAAATACAAAAAAAAAAAAAAAATTAGCCAAGCGTGGTGGTGGCCGCCTGTAATCTCAGCTATTCGGGAGGCTGAGGCAGGAGAATTGCTTGAACCTGGGAGGCAGAGGTTCCAGTGAGCCGAGATTGTGCCATTGCACTCCAGCCTGGGCAACAAGAGCAAGACTTCATCTCAAAAAAAAAAAAAAAAAAGAAATGTTATTTGCATATAATTCTAATCCCTCTTCCCCCATTTTGTGCTGTTATTGTTACTGATATTATATTTATTTATGATAAATTATATGCATATTTTAATACATAGTTGTTTTATAAATCAATTAAGGGCAGAGAGAAGTAAAATATATTTAATTATAATTAAATATATTTTATATTTAAATATAAATTAAATATATTTTATATTTAAATATAAATATATTTATATATTAAAAATATATAATTATAATTAATAATTATAATTATTTAATTATAATTACATATAATTAAATATATGTAATTATATCTTTGATAATTACATAATTACCTTTACCAAAGCTTTTTTCCTTTCATGTGGATTCAAATTACTTTCTGATGAAAACGCTTTCTCTGTGAAGGACTCATTTTTATTTCTTATAAGATGTATTTCTTATAAGGTGACTACTAGGAATTAACCTAGTTTTTGTTCATGATTTGTTTCTTTGCTTTAATAATTTTCACCTGTTATGGTTTTTTTTTTTTTCACTGCAGAGAAGGTCTAGAGATCACCTCATTGTATTCTACAGTGATGCACTTTGAATATTTACATTTATATTTCCCTGAAGGCAAATATAGGATTCTGAATCAAGGAAAAATATTATTACTTATAGCAATAAACAAATCAAGAGATAGAAACCAAAAATTGTGAACCTTGAAATTTATATCATATGGCTCACAAAGCAGATTTTTTTTCTTCCTAAGAGAGGGAGAAAATAATCATCTCCTTAAAGAAATTATCCATAAATAATAAAGGGTAAAATAAAGGGTAAAGGTACTTGCCCTTTGGAATAAAAATAAATCTCCACAGTAGGATTGATAATATAATTGTCTTTTGTTTACAGTCACTAAAAAATATCCACCTTTCTGGGTTTTCTCCCCCTTTGGGATAAAAATATATATCTCCAAGAAGGTATATCTTTCTGGATTTCTCTCCCTCTCTATTCTGTCATCTTTTAACAGTTCATGCTTGTATTTCAACCCAGGTTCCAGTTTTTATTGCTCAAACATCTTCACCATGCAGAAACTTGAAAGTATTCATATTTTTTTCTAACAGCCAATAATATATGCTTAATTACTTATTGTTGATGTCTTTTAAGGCTAGAAATCTAAAATAAGATCAGGATACATTTTCTTATTTTTATTTTTCATTGTTCTACCTGGTTACCAGCTTCCAGAAACCATAACCGAGGCTAATATTAGCATTGCCACTTCAGCTACCATGTCACTCAATCATTGCCTTTGGCAATTCACAACCTCATGGGGCTCAGTTTTTTAATCGTGGGAATTAAATGGTTGTCTAGATGATCAAGAAGCCCTCTAGCTAAAATTTTATGACTTTTTAAATCTAGAGGCAGGCTCATTTAAAGCAAAATGAGATAAAACATAACAAAAAGCTTGTTCACCACTCCTAGAATTATTACTGTGAAGAACAAAACTGTGTTTCAAGTTTCAAATGCTCCACTCAATCTTTTACATGCATTTCACAACTTATTCATAAGTATCTCATTTAATAATTGAATTCATTGTAGTGATAATGTGAATAAAAATAAAACTCTTGGCAAGTTTGGAGTATTTTCCAGTCTAAGATTAATTAAGCAGGTTATCTCTCACAAAAATTTGAGAAAGAGCTTTTGGTTACGCAGTAGTCAATCTCTTCTGCCTTATAATAGTCTTAGTATAATAGTGTAATAGTCTTAGTCTATTTTGTGCTGCTAGAACAGAATACCGCAGACTTGGTAACTTACCGTGAACAAAGATGTATTGTCTCACTTTTGGAGGCTGGGAAGTTCAAGATTGAGGGGCCTGTGTCTGATGAGCACCTTCTTTCTGCATCATCACATGGTAGAAGACGTCACATCGTAGAAGGGGAAAAAGAGGCAGAGAGTGAGCAAGAGGAGACCAAATTCAACCTTTTATTAAAAAACAACAACAAAACAAACAAAAAAAAAAAAAACACTCCTACAGTAAGGGCATTAATCCATTCATGAGAGTGCAGATCTCATAGCTTGGTTACCTCTTGAAAGCCACACCTCCCAATACTGCAACATTGAGTATCTAACACATGAACTTTGGGGATCACATTCAAACCATAGCAGCTTGCCTACTCTGAGAGGTGGAGAAATGGTCATCTTTTCCAGGTACTTGTTAAAAAAAACTCATGAATAGGTCATTATAAAAAACTAAACAATAAACAGACTTTCAGAAGAAAGAGAAAAGAGATTATTTGACCCTGAAAAGATGACACAGAAGGCTCTCTTGGTTTATCAGAAATTTTTAGAAACCAATTCAGATGCCTCATGAGTTGCAATTACCCTTCTTGTCTTTGGTTGTATGCAGAGTCACTTAAATAATTTCATTTTTGTACAATCTAACTTGAATGGTTTTCTATTACACCCAGTTCTGCCATCATAAACACAGACATTCTTAAAATTTATTGCACTATGTAAAATCATGAAATAAAGACAAATAGTTGCTAGCAAATGCAAAGTTAGGAACAAAATCTTCACAAATTTTATCAGCGACATATACAAATAAAAGGTAGGAAAATAATGAAAATGATAGCCCAGTTTTATACATTTTAAATGGTGAAGAAAACCATAAATACTACAATAAATATTATACTTTGTCTTGGTGGAGGGGCTGCCGTTTGTTTCTCTAAGCAAGCCTCAGATGGATTGAAGCTGGTGAGTTATCATGAAGTGGTAGAAAAGAGGTTACCACGTTTGTAATCTTTTGTAGCCATAAAACCTGGGGCATGTTTTTTCTTGCTATTGACAATGTAAGTCTTTTAAGCTATGTGTTTATACTGGATATCTATTTTATCAAAACTGAAAATTTTATATGATATATAACCTTTAATTAACTTTTGTATCACTGCTGGAAATACCTTTACTGTTTTCTAATCTTCACTCAGGGCTTTGCTTAACAGCTGAAGGCTTTGAAAATTTTAGTGGTATTTGAAAATAACCAAACCAGCCACTACTTGTGCTAAAAAGAGCTGTTTCTGCAGGTTTTGGCAATTTCTATTTAAAGTCTTAGTTTACAGATATTGCTTTATATTTGATTATGAGAAAGGATATTTATGACTTTTTGGCTCTGTTCTCCTATGCATAAGCTCAATAATCTTTCCATTACATTAAATTCTCTGGGCCTTGTTTTCATTGACTTTGCAGCACATGAAGTTTTTCTAATCAAATATTTCTTTTTTATTATCTTTAGAGCATTGTCTCTAGTGGTCCACAGTGTGGATTTCTTTAAGTCTATTGCTTGAGAACTGTTTCATGCTCTCCCATTTCTTTCAAAACATTTTATTATTTCAAGTTTCTTCTCAATATTTAAAGCTTCCTTTTCTGATGCACTGCTTGGTGTTTTCAATCAAGGACACTTGTATTTTTGGGATTTTGAATGAATGTCACAAAGGCAAAATATTACCAAATCACAGTCTTTTAGGATAACATGTTCAGTGAACAGAATGAGTTGACAGAAGAGATAGTTGAGATGTTGTGCATGTGTGTATTTTGCATATTCCTATGTGGTTCAATTCAGTTGGATACAGTTTTCTGTATGAACTTTGAATTTCTTGCAGGTGAAATTTCATGTGAACAAATGTAATACTGGCATTATTCTCAAATTATTCCCCAATAAATAAATTGCATTGGAACAAACTTGTGTTTTCAAAACAAGTGTGATAGCAGAACTTACTGTACTTGTGTCCTAAAGTGCCTTCATTAAGTCTCCTGTATTTGTCTATTTTTGAGAGCAAGACATATCATGTGATTTTTAAAAAATATATTTTTAAAAGTTTAATTATATTTGGAGGTATTTAGCCGTCTTCAAGAATATGAATTGTCTACTTTAAGATTTTGAGGAATTTTGGAATATGGAGTGTTAAAAATAACAGACTATTCTGTAACCAGAAGCATATTTTGTCTTATGAATTAGAGCTCAGACTCTAAAAATAGACTCCCTGTAATTGAATCAGCTTGAATACATTCATATTGCTATGTAACCTTAGGTAAGTTATAATAAATGATTGATGTTTCTATCTTTAGAGTAATCACTGACTCTACACACTTAATGGAAAAAAAAATCAGTCTAGAATTACCAATTTTCCTTAAAATAATGAAAAATTGTTCAGGAGAGATCATCTTTAGCCAATATATAACCTATTATTACCTTTATAATATGTAAAAGTAACATAAATGCAGAAAAGAAAACCTTGTTTATTTTATAATTTATTGTATCTTTGTCTCCTCTTCAATTCTTCATGTTGAAATGCACCATTATAAAAGGGACTATAAACAACTAATGATAAATACTAAGACTAAGTTCAATAAAAATAAATTCGTGATATTGGAATCCATAAGATCTTGGCAAACTCCTATAATGGGAATGATATTCAATAAATAAGGCTTTGTGGGCTGTGTGGTCTCTGTTGCAAAGGATTAAGTCTGCTATTTCAGCTCAAAAGCAGCCATGGACAATACAGAAATAAATGACTATGGTGGTGTTCTAATAAAACTTTATTTACAAAAGCAGAGAGAAAGATTTCGCCCACTGGCTGTAGTTTGATGACTCCATGGAATAAATCACTCAGATTTAGCAATTGACTTTTAGAATATGTACATTTCTGTAATAGTGTTAATCTGTACCAGCTCAAAAAGAGCTTTATTTCAACAGCCTCACATCCAGTATTAGCAGGTCACCTGGATTGATTAAATAATTTCTGCAGGACCTCTGCTTTAGTGGTTTTTACAACCACTAAACTTGACCCTTACAACTATACCAAAGTTACGCCTCCCCTCCATAGTGACTAATTTAATTGGCCTGAGGATGTGGTTCAAGTATCTATATTAAAAGAGAAAATACAGGTGACTTAAAAGATACAAGCATGGATTATGCAATTCTAATTTTAAGCCAGGTTTTGCTACAGAAACATTTGTTAATGTTTTAGAAGGTGTTCATTAAAGTGACTACCTAATCACTAATTATTTGACCTTAGGCACATTACTTAATATATTTGTGAGGCAGAGACTGGTAGGTAGTTTTGTCTTCAATAAAGTAGAAATGACTTGGCTCCTACCTAGATGGATCTATAATAATCATTTTGTTTAACACTTGTATGTCAGATTAAATAAACCAAATCAGTAATTATATATGCTAATTTTCTTATTATGTTCTAAGGCTTGAACATAATGTTATGCAAAATGAAATACAGTCTTTACGGAATTAATACTTATTAACTTTAATATTTACTAATATTTAACAAAGTTTTTCAACCTCACCAATATTGACATTTTGAAATGGATAATTCTTTGTTGTAAGAGGCTATTTTGTGCAATGTAGGATGTTTAGCAGCATCCCAGGCTTCTACCAACTAGATGCCAATAGTACCCCTCCTCCTGCAGTTGTAACAATCTAAAGAATTTTCTAGACACTGCCAAGTATTTTGGGAAAAATATCAGTTGAGAATTATGGATATTTACTCAAATAAGACAGGTAGTATTTTATGTAGTATGTTATAGATGACTGTGGTAGGCTTAGCATTTTATAAGATGGCTACTAGTGGTCCACATCTTCCTGTGTTTGTGGTCTTGTGTAATATTCTCCCATTCACAGTTACATACACTTAATGATTTGCTGCCAATAAATTGTCTATGACCAAAGTGGTGGAATGCCACTTCAAAGATAATATTCCAAAAAGACTCGCTTTGTTGATCCTTCTTCTAATTTTTTTAATTGACAAGTAAAAATTATATATATTCATGGTATATAGCATGATGCTTTGAAATATGTATACATTATGGAGTGGCTAAATCAAACTATTTATCATATGTACTGCCTCACATATTTATCACTTTTTCTGGTGAGAAAACAAATGCTACTATCTTACCATTTTTCAAGTATACATTTTTATTCACTATAGTCACCATGATGAACAATAGGTCTCTTTAACTTATTTATCCTGTCTAACTGAAATTTTGTGTCCTTTGACCAACATCTCCCCAGTTGCTATACTTCCTATACTCTGGTAACCACCATTTTACTCTCTGATTCTATAAGATCCACATGTAAATGAGATCATGTAGTATATGCCTTTCTGTGCCTGGCTTATTTCACTTAAGATAATGTCTTCTAGGTTCTTTCATGCTGACTCAAATAACAGGATTTACTTATTTTTTAAGGCTGAATAGTATTCCATTGGGTGTACATAACACATTTTCTTTATTCATTTATCTTTTGATAGAAACTTAGGTTGATTCCATAACTTGGCAATTGTAAATAATGCCATAGTAAACATGGCAGTGCAGACATTTCCTCAACATCTGATTTCACTTTCTTTGGTTATATGCCTATTAGTGGGATTACCGAATCATATTGTAGTTCTATTTTTAACCTTTTGTGGAACCTCTATACTGTTTTTCAAACTGGCTGCACTAATTTACCTAAGATAATTTACCAAACTTTTCTTTCATCAATTTGATATTAGCCATTTTAACAGGTATAACATGATATCTCATTGTAATTTTAATTTATATTTCCCTAACGATTAGTGACATTAAGCATTTTTTCATATACCTGTTGGAAGTTTGTATGTTTCCTTTTGAGAAATGTCTATTCAGGACGTTTGCCCATTTTTTAAATCAGGTTACTTGTTTTATTGCTATTTGTGTTTCTTATATATTTTAGATATTATTAATGACTTATCAGATGTATAGTGTACAAATATATTCTTTTATTCTGTGGGTTGTCTCTTTGTGGATTCCAAAAATATTAGAATTGTTTCCTTTGATGTGCAGAAACTTTTTAGTTTGATGTAATCTTATTTGTCTAGTTTTGCTTTTGTTGCCTGTGCTTTTGGGGCTATATCCAAAATAATTATTGCCTAGGTCAGTGTCATGGATGTTTTTTCTTATGTTTTATTCTAGCAGTTCTACAGTTTCAGGTCTTACATTTATGTCTAATTAATTTTGCACTGATTTTTGTATATGGTGTGAGGAAGGGTCTAATTACATTCTTCTGCATGTGGATATCTGGTTGTCCCAGAATCACTTGTTGAAGAGACTGTCCTTTTCCCATTGTGTCTTCTTGGCATCTTTGTCAAAAATCAATTGACCATAATTATATTGAGTTTATTGCTGGGCTCTCTATTCTTCTCCATTTAGCTTTGTATCTGTGTTTATGTCAGTACTATGATATTTTGGTTATTATACCTTTGTAGTATGTTTTGAAATCAGGTAGTGTGATATGTCTGACTTTGTTCTTTTAGCTTGAGATTGCTTTTGCTATTTGGGGTCTTTTTTGGTTTTATACAAATTTTAGGATTTTATACTTCTGTGAAAAATACTGAAATTTTGGTAGAAATTTCATTGACTCTATAAATCACTTTGGGTATTATGGACATTTTAGCAATATAAATTCTTCCAATCCATGAACATGGGATACCTTTCCATTTGTTTGTGTCTTCTTCATTTTCTTTCATCAATGTGTTACAGTTCTCAGTGTATTGATCTTTCACCTCCTTTGTTAAATTTATTCCTAAATATTTGTGTATGTGTCTGTGTGTGTGCATGTGTGGCTGTCATAGATCTTTTAGTGTTGCTATAAAAGAATACCTGAGGCTGGGTCATTTACAAAGAAAATACGTTTATTTAGCTCATGGTTCTGCAGGCTGAGAAGTACAAGAAGCATGACACCAGCGTCTGCTTAGCTTTTGACGAAGCCTTTTCATGCTGTGTTATAACATGATAGAGAAGGTCAATGGGGAAGTGGACACATGTAAAGAGGAAAACTCCAAGGGGGTACCCTGGCCTTATAACAATCCACTCTCATGGGAACTAATCTATTCCCTCAAGAACAAATTCACTCTCTCACTCACTACCATGAGAATGACACCAAGCCATTCTTGAGGGATTCACCCCCATAACCCAAGCATCTCCTAGGCACTACCTCCAAACGCCACCACATTAGGGATAACATTTGAAAATGAAGTTTGGTTGGGAAAAATCTCCTACCATAGCAGTAGCTACTGTAAATAACATTGTTTTCTTAATCTCTTTTTCTGATAGTTCATTGTGAATGAATAAAAAGTTACTAAATTTTGTATGTTAATCTTGTATCCTGCAACTTTACTGAATGAATTTCTTTATTAGTTCTAATAGGGTTTTTTTTGGTGGAGTTTTTAGGATGTTTCCATATATAAAATTATGTCATCTGCAAATGGGGACAATTTAACATTTTTCTTTCCAAATTGGATGCCTTTTATTTTTTTGCCCTGCCTGAATGCTCTAGCTAGGACTTCCAGTTCTATGTTGAACAGAAGTGTTGAGAGGGGGTGTCCTTGCCTATCTAAGATGAAAGCTTTAAACTTTTCACCATTGAGTATGATGTTAGCAATGAGTCTGTCATATACAGTCTTTATTTTGTTGATGAACATTTCTTCTATAACTAATTTCTTAAAGGTTTTTATCAACAAGACTGTGTCTTGACAATTGACATATTGCAAGAAGCCCTATGGAGAAACCCAGGTGGCAAAGAACTGAGGGAAACCTCCAGTCAACAGCGTACAATAAACTGAATACAACTAATGACTTAAATGAGTTTGAAGTGAATTCTTTCCCACTATTTCCTCTTGAAATACATCAAAGAATTTCCTTTTAGTTTAAAATTTAGATTTTGTTGTTATAATAAAACACAATCTTTAGCATGGGCTATAAGTAATTTTTTCTTGATTATTTATTGTAATATGTATCGGTCTTTTTACAGTTTTCACAAACACCTTCTTTTTCCTGTTGAGAGTGGGTGTCCTTGCCTATCTAAGATGAAAGCTTCAAACTTTTCACCATTGAGTAAAATGTTAGCAATGAGTCTGTCATATATAGTCTTTATTTTCTTCTCTAGTAGAAAAGAATCTGAGTAGCTGAAGTCTGTCACACAGGCAGTGTATGTCTACATGATTGTCCCCCAATAAACACTCTGGACACAAAGGCTTAGGTGAGCATCCTTGGCTGACACCATTTTTAATGTGTTGTCACATATCATTGCTTGAAATGACTACAGGTTTCAGTGACACCTTGTTTGCTGCTTTGTGAAAGATCCTGTGCCAGAGGACACTGTGCCTACATTTCTGAAACTCAGGAAAAGTAAGATAATAAGTGTTTACTGTTTTAAAATGCTATGTTTTTAAGTAATTTACTGTGCAGCTGTAGGTAACTAATAGAGTGATAGTTAATTCAATATAATTTATTTAAAAATTTAGCATTCTGATTTTTTTGGTAAGGCAATTTTCAGGGATTTGAGCCAACTAGCTCTCAGCTATTATAATTTTTTTCTTTGCCAGTGGTGGAAAGCCTTTCTTTACTTTTTACAATTTATCTAAAATCTCCAGTTTATGACTCTCCAGACATATGGTCACTAATGGAGGAAGGAAACGCACAGGAAAAAGAAGATATGTGTGAAAACAGTAAAAAGACTGATACACATTACAAGAAAAAATCAAGGAACAATTACTTATAGCCCACACTAAGGATTACATTTCATTATAACAACAAAATCTGATTTTTAAACTAAAAGGAATCTCTTTAATGTATTTCAAGAGGAAACAGTGGAAATGTATAATCTTAAAGAATCTTGGAGAATATAGTACTCTATGTTGATTTTGCTTTCATATAATCAAGAAAAGAGAATATATTTCAAGGTATAAAACACTAGAAAAACACATGATTAATATAGAATTTAAAACATAGGGGGAACTGTGCAGGGAAAGCTAATTCAGCAGGCCTGGATTGCTCAAATCCTCAGATTTTCCAAATAAAGATCTGTCTTCAGGACGGGTCTGAAGCAGGCTTCTAGAAGATAACCTCTGATAGCTTAGACTATTTGGCCTGATAAGAGTATGTTTATATTCTTGAGGCCTTGGGCCATGCTGTATTTGTTTGATCAGATAAGTTTACCCTAACAATGCAATTTATGGTTAATGCTTGTTTATGCTTTGGGAGTGGTAGAATCTCAGTAGCCAAAGTCTGTCACACAGGCAGTGTACGTCTACATGATTTTCCCCCAGTAAACACCCTGGACACAAAGACTTGGGTGAGCATCCTTGGCTGGCACCATTTTTAATGTGTTATCACATATCATTGCTGGAAGAATTAACTGTGTCTCTGTGTGACTCCATTGGGAGAGAATGCATGAAAGCGTGTGCCTGCTTCCTCCTGAACTTTAGACCACGTGACTTATTCCTTTGCTGATTTCAATCTGCATCTGCAAAGTTATATAATAATCTATAACTATGAATATAGCAGTTTTTCTGAGTATCTGAGTCCTTCTAGCAAATCTTCAAGCCTGAGAATTGTCTTGGGAACCTTTGACACAGAATAAATAGTAAGAATCATTATAGATGAACTTAAGGCTTCAGTTCCAGTTGAAATACATGCTAAGGTACTGAAGTAACTAGTATATCGTCCATATCACCCTTAATAATTTTTGAGCTATTATAGAAAATAAGTGCCAGAATAGCTGTGATCATCACAGATCATCAAACATGATCCCAATTTTTCAAAGAAACAACGTCAGGAACTACAAATATGTAAGCTTGATATCAGATTCTAGAAATACTCTATAATGTACTTTAGAGCATATGGTAAGCTTATTGAGAGCTGGAGTTACAGAGTAGATCTCTTATAACTGGGGAACATAATACATAGCACATAATAAATGTAACACATAATACATAGTAGGTGCTCAAGAATTATTTGTAAAACTAAACAAGTAGTGTTGGGTTGCAAGACTGAAAAGATAAGATATCATGACTAGGAATTAGCATAGATGAAGAATCAATATAGGAAGACAACCTAACTACATTGGCTGTTTTAATCAGGTGATATCTAATTAGATTGGCCAAGCATAGGAAAGTCACAGATAAAGCTTATTTGGATTTTAGCAGTGTGTTAAAATCTTTCATGATTTATTTGTTTACCAGTTGGACAAATGTAGGCCAGATGTCAGAAAAATCAAGTATTGACAGAGTTGGATGAGAGTAGATTCAAATGATTGAATGATGATTTCCCAAGAGTCATCACACAGGATTCTGTCTTAAGCCTTGTCCTCTCTAAGATTTGTATCACTGACTTGGATAAAGACAAAAATATATGCTTATAAAATTTTTAGATAACAAAAAGCTGAGAGAAATAGCTAATGTGCTGCATAACAATCAATATTAGAAAAGATCTTGACAGCAATTTGTGTGAAAAAGACTTCAGGATTTTAGTCGACTGCCAACTCCATCAGCTATAGCTGTCAAGGAAGTTAAATATGTGTTGTATATAAATGCAGTAGCATGTGTGTGTGTTTGTGTGTGTGTATGTGTGTGTGTATTTCACACATGGTTGTTAGAAATTATCTCTTAGAAAATCAGTGAGTCTAATAGAATTCACTGACAGATGTTGTCCTAATCAAAAATTCTTGGGTTTCCTCTCACAAGTCAGTTATTATGATTGTGATCAACCATGCCCTAATGTGTGCTAGTGTGACCGAAAAAGTAGTTTTCCTAAATGACCTTATTAATGCAGGAAAGTAAACTGTAAAATGGTATTAGGGCTTATTTCAATAAATATATATTAAATTGTTTAAAGTGACCCACTTTAGCAAGAATTGTTTGTTACTGGTTGCTTTCAGATCAGAAGGGAGAAAAGATGGATGACCTGCCACAGAGCCACCTGTAAGTGGAAGTGAGCAAGCAGGAAGTTTTTAGTTTATTTAAAATATCTGCCCAAAAAAAAGAAAAAGAAAAAAATCCTGTGTGAGAAGGAAGACTGTTAAATAAATAAGCAAATCATTTTAAGTGAAACAGAGAAAGGCAAAGTTTAAAAATAATGTTGGGACAATAGAAGATGTTCTAGCATGTTAAAATGGTTTCTCTGTGACCACCACCACCCTACTGTAAAGATCTGTAAGGTTCAGGAAGCTGATGGGATTCTCTTCCTGTTGCCTTCCCACGTGGGTTTCTATTGGAGCTGTGCTCTCTGTAATGCACAATGCCCTTCAGTGAATAGAGGGGTCACACACCTCGTAGCTTTACTCACTTGCTTGCAAGGGAATCTGCAAGGTAAGCATGTAAGAATATAATTACCTTTGCTAATAAGGTCCTAGGAAGGGGACCACATGTGAATACCATGATAAGCTCCTGAAGTAGGCTAGAAGGAATGCTGGATGTTAATACTTCAGCAAAAGCAGAAGGTGATTATTTTTTATGCAATTAAAAGCAGAATGTTAATTACGGCTGTGTTTGTCACAAGAGAGTAAATGTGTAAAATATTTGGGAAAATTGATCAGGGCTAGCTCCTGAAAAGACAAATTAGCATGAGTGAACTGGGGCCATCAAGTATCAATCACTGTCTTAGCATGAAATAGCAAAGATAGGCCCTAGGCTACTTGGAAGGAGTTAGGTTTATATCCTTTAAAATAATAATTTATATATATATATAGTATATATTTTACATATACATAATTATATATGTATAATAAATTATACATAAAATATAATGATCTGTTATATAGACTTTTAAGGTGGGAATATAATTACTGTTTCTAGCTTTGTTAAATGAAATTTAAAAGTTTTAGATCATTCATTTATCCATAGCAAATTATTCAATTATCTAATATTTACTTGGAATTAGGATATTGTATGAAATCATTAGCCTCTTACAGTGTGGAGTCTAGAGGGAGACAAGAAGAAGTATATCCTCAATTAAGAGATATTCACTGCCAATAAATTGCAACTAATAATACCTTTACTTTTCTCAGTGACATGGCTCATGAGGAAGAGAAAATGTGTGTAAGTTTCAGATAAAGAGAGAGAGAAAAAGAGACAGAGAAGAGATTAACTTGTCCATTTTTTAAATTTTATTAGATTATACTAGCATCAATCATCATTAAACAAGTTAACTCCAATAAACGGAATTCTCCCTACTACATGGTGGCTGATTTAACTTAGAGAAAGTAAGGGGAGTGGGATTAGAAGAGGAAGGTGATATGGTTTGGCTGTGTTCCCACCTAATTATCATCTTGAATTTTAATCCCCATAATCCTCACATGTCATGGGAAGAATGTGGTGGGAGGTAATTGAATTATGGGGCAGTTTCCCCTATGATGTTCTCGTCAATGAGTTCTCGAGATCCGATGTTTATATAAGTGTCTGGCATTTCCCCTGCTGGCACTCATTCTCTCTCCTGCCGCCCTGTGAAAAGGTGTCTTCCACAGTGATTGTAAGTTTCCTGAGGCCTCCCCAGCCATGCGGAACTGTGAGTCAATTAAACCTCTTTTCTTTATAAATTACCCTGTCTCGGGCATTTTCTTATAACAATGTGAGAATTGACTCATACAGAAGGCAATTGTATAAATAACTTAGTTGAAAAAAGAAATACGAGGGAGGATTTACAGAATTAAATGTAGTCTGCAAGGATTCATTTCAACATCATCTTAGGCCAGTTTTTTGGAAACAGACTGAACTGACAATTTGCAGGCAGGAGGCTTATTGGTGTGTAACTGAGAAATGGTACCTATAAGTAGTTAAGGAAAGAAGAACTGGGTGAAGGGAGAATTTGAACTGCAGTCCAGTTCCCATAGAGGCCTCAGCCAATCATGCATGGGCCTGTGGGGCTACCATACTCCTTTAGAGTTGTAGTGAGTTGAAATAAATGACCCAAACATTGCCCCGGCTCCCTTAACCAGTTGTTGGATCTGGGCTGCCCTTGGGAAAATGGCATTATATTGAGTGAGAGAGCTTTTATCGGATAAAAGCCATTTCAGGGAGCGACTCATCTTTGAGTGATCAATAGCCACTAGGGAAATAAATGTCAGGGATAAAGAAGGAGGTGTCTGGCCTAACTGTGTGACCGTACTATCCATTACAAACATCTTGATGAGTCCCATTCGCTAGTTTATCCCCAGGATTTGCCTCTGTAGAGAGATTATTCATCAGCTTTCAAGGCAAATACACAGGCAAAATAGTCCACCTTAAGGGGACTATGTAACAGATAATTATTTATTATATTATATGTATAATTCATTATTCTTATATAATAATGTATGTATGATATATATTTATACTATATATAAAACAATTTTAAAGGATATAAGCCTGACCCTTTTCACTAACTATCTCCTCCACCCAGACTATCAAAATTCAGCTAAGTAACTCAAGTTTAGAGTTAGTAATCAAAAAGCATTTGGAGGCAGTTTAGAAGATGAATTGCAAGGGAAAAGGGGTGGAGGCTCTGAATTAAAAAGAATATTGGTCACAGAAAACAGAATAGTGAAGTCAACATCCACAAAGTTAGTGTGCCAGAGGGGATTGAAGGGAGACACCTGCTTGCATTTTTTTCCCTAGACCTACTTTCAGAGGTGTAGCAGACAAATTACAGAAGATAGAATTAAAATAGATTCCACCCATGGGGTCTGCCACTATTCCCACCTAAATAATACAGAAGAGCCAGGAGCATGCATAATGAGAATTCATAATTTCACAGCTTAAATAAAAGCTATAAAAGTCATCAGAATGTTAAACCTGCAAGCAGAGAGAGAGAAATGTGTTTTTTATTTTTATTTTTTAAAGTCCTTGGTGCAACTCCAAGAAAGAAAGCAAAAATTTCTTAGAGGCCAAGAAATAGAAGCACAAAGGAGGCCTGTGGGGAAGGTAGCATTTTACAAAGAAATATCAAATACTTTTTAAAAATGAGATATCACCTGAAATATTCCCTAGGAATAAAATTAACTGATAACCCCTAATTAAATAAGATATTGATATTTTAATTTATAAGTGCATATGAATGGCTGTGAAATGTATTTATTAGAATGTGTTTCAGTTGTGCAATCATTGTAAACTGCTCTGTGCCATAAAATTACATAATTAGCACACCAGAACTTATATTTAATACCAACATTTAAGTCTTCTTGCAAATGGTGTTGTGTGGGAGTTACTGCATCTTATAAACTTGCCGGGGCAGAGAAAATTCCAAAGAATGTTTAGTGGGGGGAAAATGTATTGTAGATTTCATATGATAAAGTAGTGAATGTGAACTGGCTCTGGCATCTGGATACCTGGTTCAAACACTAACTCTACTACTTACAAGTTGAGTTCAAACAAGTTATTTGAACTCTGGACTCAGTTTCCAAATCTGTAAAATGGGGTATTATTTGTAATTATCTCACAGGACACCAATTAATGTTTAGAGCTTATTTTAGCATCTTTCATATTTTAATTATGTCATAAATGACAACTATTGTTGTTAATAATATTAATGCTATAGTGAGCAGAAATATGTCTTTAGAATAGAAATATATTGGGACAATAGTAAGCGTGGATGTGGAGAATATAATGAGTGAGGATTTAATGAGTAGAATCAATTATGTTTAGTAAAACTGAGTTACCTGAAATGTAAGAAAGCTAAAAGACTTGATGTATTTCTTCTTAATAAATTAGTTTTTATTATTATTTTGAGAAACTCCTTGGTAATATACATTCCGTATGAGAAGCTCCTTAGTAATATACATTCAGTAGTTTGATCAGGTCGTGTGTTGGGACCCCTAATGTTTCTTCACATTTGATGATAATAAGAACAAGCATTTATTAATTTTCTCACTGTTTGTCTGATATTGCTCTAAGCACTTTATATGCATAGACCAAATTAACCTTCCCTGAAACCTTTATCAGGTACATGTGAGTCTCATCTCAAGGGGAAGAAAATATGATAAGAGAGTTTCTAGTAACTTCCACGTTGTTAAATCACAGAGTCAAGACACAATCCCAGGCACTCTGGCTTCAGAGCTTGGGACCTTAAACAGTATACTATATTGTAGTATATCTGCTTATATGTGTCCACTGCGCAAACATGGTTAAAAACATTGGTAAGTAAACCTGTTATTTATTGTCAATTCAAAAGAAAAAAAGTTTTCTGATTTCAGTGGCTCACCATTTCTATTATAGTCTGTCCCTATTTACACTGTTAGACTTTACAACCTCACTTCCTGGTAATTCACAAACAGTGGTAATTACTATTACACTATGACTATTTACAACCTCACTTCTTGGTAATTCACAAACAGTGAAAATGAAACAGGGGTTTTAGGTTTTCTCCACTCAGTTCATCTCCTTTATGGCTTTACCTGGCTAACAGCAAGAGTGGGAGCTGCGGTTATGTACATCCACAGCATCTAACAATGGTGAGTGGCTTACCACATGCTTATGGGAATCAACTGGTGAGAAATAAGGGTGCCATAGTCAAAATAGCCTAATACACCAACTATCAACACATGATATTGGCAGCCCCAGGGGGATTACAGTAGGATTCAACCAAAAGGATTGACTTTATTTATCTTATAGTCACACATATTTGAGGTAATTTGGAAACCTACTTTCAGACATTAGATGTTTTCTCTAACACTAAACAGCAATTATTTCTTTAAGATCATATATTAGTTTGCTAGGGCTTCCATAATGAAATACCACCAACTGGGTAGCTTAAACAGCAGATTTTTTTTTTCTGACAATTTTGGAGGTTGAAAGTCCAAGATCAAAGTGTTAGCAGGATTGGTTTCTTCTCTCCTTGACTGGTAGATGACTATCTTCTCCCTGTGTCTTCACATGGT
The DNA here is from genome assembly GCF_000001405.40 of Homo sapiens. Classification (NCBI taxonomy): domain Eukaryota; kingdom Metazoa; phylum Chordata; class Mammalia; order Primates; family Hominidae; genus Homo; species Homo sapiens. The sequence continues at coordinate 104,732,617 of NC_000011.10, forward strand.
CTTCTCTCTGTATATGTCTGTGTGCAAATTTTCTTTTCTTGTGAAAACACCAGTCATATTAGATTAGGGTCCAGTGACTTCATTTTAACTTAATTATCTCTTTAATGACTCTGTCTCCTCTGTAGTTGAATTCTGAAGTACTAGAGGTTAGGACTTCAATATATAAACTTTTTCGGAGGACACAATTCAGTCCATGACACAATATCAGTGGAATAAAAATCATTCTACTCTACCATATTAGAACAATATTTTGGGCCTGGCTTATGGCCCTGTACTCCCAGTACTGTGGGAAGCCAAGGCAGGAGGATCACCTGAGGTCAGGAGTTTGAGACCAACCTGGCCAATGTGATGAAACCCCATCTCTACTAAAAATACAAAAATTAGCCAGGCATGGTGGCGCATGCCTGTAATCCCAGCTACTCAGGAGGCTGAGGCAGGAGAATTGCTTGAACCCGGGAGGCAGAGGTTGCCGTGAGCCAAGTCGCACCACTGCACTCCAGCCTCGGCGACTTGAGTAAGACGCTGTCTCGGAAAAAAAAAAGAAAAAAAAAGAACAATATTTTTCCACTGTCACTCAAACTTACATATTATTCTAGTCCAACAGAAGCTTTAAGTTAAAAAAGATAATTTTAAACTTTGCTCAACATGGTCTACTAATAAGCTGGCTGCATGAAAGTGAGCTGGAATTTCTTCCCCACATAGTCTTTTGTTCTTTTGATGGGAGATGGCAAAAAGGAAAGCTTTGCAAAGTCACACCTCATTTTGCATACTTACTAGAATAAAAGAAGAATGTTCAGAATACGCACAGATGAATAGAATGTCTGACCTTAATGTCATTTTTATTAGAATGTACCAAGCCTTCCGTTTTTCAACTAGCAATAGCTATGGTTACATTTCTCATATTTTTTGGAAACCATCGGTTAGAGCAGTTGTGTCCCCAAATATTCTTCATCTTAATGATGTGAAAAACAAATTACTAGACACTAAATTACTAAACATTTTATATATTAAGGTTCTCAAAATTTTACAAATTAACTGAAGCTAAAAATTAAAGCAAAACAGTGACAAAACACTCAAAATGTAATTTCAAAGTTAGCAATTTTTTGTTAACTATATAATTATGGAAGAAACATGCATCTTTATGAATCTGAAATGTTGATGTACATTATTTTAGTTCAGTATTACTTTATTTCTTCTCCCAAATGTTACTGAGCAGTAAAGAACAGATTAATTTCCATGTTCTTCCCTATGGCAGCATATAAAATATTATTTAAATAAGGATATATGGAGTAAGTCTGAGCCTAGGTTAGAACTCTAGTGTGTATAGTGGAAAACTTGATAGGCTTAAGAAAGACTTAAAATCTTGTTTAATAGAAACTCCAGATATAAATATAAGAAGACAAGACTGCATAATGATCCTCCATGAACCCATTATAGCCTCAAGAGTTACTAAATAATGACAAATCCTTTTCTTTTTGATCCATAACTCCACTCACACCCCTTTTCACTTGATTATTTAAAAGTGAGAGCCTGAGCAACATAGCGAGACCCCATTTCTACAAAAAATTAAAAATAAAAGCTAGCCAGGCATGGTGGTTTGCACCTGTGTTCCTAGCTACTGAGGAAGCTAAGGCAAGAGGAGCACTTGAGCACAGGAGTTCAAGGCTACGGTGAGCTATGATTGTGTCACTGCACTCCAGCCTCGGTGACAGAGCGAGACCCCCATCTCTTAAAAAACAAACAAACAAAAAAAAGAAATGAGTTCCAGACATCAAAAAATTTAGAAATAAATATTTGAGTGTGTAACTGTAAAATATAATGGTTCTTAATAAGTACAACACAGTAGGCCAGGTGTGGTGACTCATGCCTGTAATCCCAACACTTTGGGAGGCTGAGGTGGGTGGATCACTTGAGGTCAGGAGTTTGAGACCAGCCTGGCCAACATGGCGAAACCCCATCTCTACTAAAAATACAAAAATTAGCTGGGTGTGGTGGCGCATGCCTGTAATCCCAGTTACTTGGGAGGCTGAGGCAGGAGAATCACTTGAACCCCTGAGGTGGAGGTTGCAGTGAGACGAGATCACACCATTCAACTCCAGCCTGGGCAACAGAGTGAGACCATATATATATATATATATATATATATATATATATATATATATATATATATATCACAATAGTATTCACATGCTGCTTCAATTAATTTCTTTTTTAACTAAATGTCTAGTCACTTCACATTTCCCAGGTTATCATATATATAGTTATATATTTATGTATAATAAATACATGACATATATTTGCCATTATATAAGTATATGATATATTCAATATATTCAATATGCATTCAAAAATATTTGAAAATTCAAATGAAGTCTATATATTCCCACTGGTTGAAATGTTGCTTGTCTTTTTTTCACTTGCTAGTTACACTTCCCTTTTCCTTTCTCTCTGTTTTTCCTGTCATTTTGTTGTTGTTATTGAGGAAACTAAGTCATCAGTCCTAGAAAGCTCTCAACACAGAAACTGCTTTTTGCTGATTGTCAGTAATGACAGAAAAACAATTGCCTAAGTTGTCTGTTGCTAAGAATATTTTTTTCAGAATAAGAACAGATGAAGGAAGGAGGCAGAGGAAGTATTCTCTGATGTCCAAAGTTTGTGTGGAACACAGGAAAGAAGGCCAGACCAGAGATTAAATCCTGACTCTGAGAAAGACTGGCTTGGTATGAGGCAAATTTTTATTTTTCTGGGTGTCAGTGTCCAGGTATATAAAATCACATATAAGTACATCATAGTTAAATTACTGAAAACCAAATATATTTTTTAAGTTGTGAAGGCAGCTAGAGAATAAAAGACATGTTTTTTAACAGGATAACAATAAGAGTGATAGCTGATGTCACAATGAATACCTAAAACAAGTTATCTTGAAAGAAGAGTGGAGATGAAATGCTTAGTGACGTTAAAAGCTTATGTGAAATATTAAAAGTAATAACCTGTGATAGAGAAACAAACACACAAAAAGAAATTATATGGTTTAAAGCTTTGGTCTGGGGCAACTGAACCAAGGTCAAATCTCAGCTTCACCATTTTGTTTCTATACAGCTTGTGGTAGTTACATTGGCTGATTCTTAATTTTCCTTATCTTTCAAATGGTTATAATAATGTCTACCTCATGGAGATGTTGTAAAGATTAAAAGATAGAAATCAGTAAGTTGCTTAATAAGTGTCATAGCTATCACAAATTGACAAACGTGATTGGGGGAAGAGACTATGCTAAGGAAATATAAATAAAATGACCCTGAATTTTTCCTTTCTTTCATGTTTATGTATGTGTATGTGAGAGGCTGAAGTGACTATCATCACAGTAAACCCAATATTTGAAATAATTCATTTGAATAATTTATTTTCTTTTCAATTATTTTCTAGCTGAGTTAGAAGGTTTTTGGGTTTTTTTTTATTTTGGTTTTTTGTTTGTTTGTGTGAGATGGAGTTTCACTCTCGTCAACCAGGCTGGAGTGCAATGGCACGATTTTGACTCACTGCAACCTCCACTCCCAGGTTCAAGTGATTCTCTTGTCTCAGCCTCCAGAGTAGCTGGGATTGCAGGCGCCTGCCACTATGGCTGGCTAATTTTCATATTTTTAGTAGAGACGGGGTTTCACCATGTTGTCCAGGCATGTCTCAAACTCCTAACCTCAGTTGATCCGCCTGCCTCGGCTTCCCAAAGTGCTGGGATTACAGGCGTGAGCCACCGCGCTGAGCCTGTTTTTGTTGTTGTTGTTGTTGTTTTTGTTGTTGTTGTTGTTTTTAATAAGTAAGGAAGACATAGTCAGAAGGATATGAGAAGGGATATACAGGGGCTCAAACTTTATTTCCCTGGCTGAGGGTACATTATTGTTCCTTGTATTATCCTCCATGCCTGTCTTTATGTCTAAAAGCTTTATAATAATTTCCAAAGTTATAATTTAATTATGGTTAGCTAGCACTAAGAAATGACAAGTCTTCAGCAAATCTGTGGGATAATTTAGTTTCAAGTTTCAGCTAATGACGTATGGGGTGTGCAGAATGTGTTAATGATATGTTATATTACAGCTGTCGATTACAAACAACTTTACTTCCTGTTTCTCTGCTCTTTATCTGTTTAATATCCTCTTTCTCATATACCCAAACACTTCTCTTCCTTTAAGGATATTAAGTCACCTTTGCAGTTATTAATGTTATATTGGTTGAAATAATTTAGGGAATGAGGTCAACAATGTACAGACTAGATAATGTGGCTCCTGGACTGCAGCAACATTGGCTGCAGTTAGCCAGGAAAAATTTGTTAGATTATTGGAAGCTGTTTTTATTTTTTTCATTAAATTTTAAATACATTCTGCTTAGTCAAGCCTACATGGAAAGGGTTTTATTTGATAGTTTTCAGTGCTCAATCTATTATTCTAATGAATGATATATAAACATGTTTGTTTATATATTGTTATCTTACTTCAATGATTTTTCATAATTATTAAAGCAAGCTCTGGTATGAATTAATGAAGGTATGTCGATTTTAGCAAAAGACAAGGATGCTTCCAGTTTTTTTTTTATTTTTAATTTTTTAAATTAACCTTTAAATGTATCACATTTTTAGGGATCATAGTTCAGGCTTACTCTAGCTGGCATTGTTCTCTCTAGATATGTATTTATCTATTTGGAGGAACTGTTGTGCTGTAGAGTGTTTCGGAGAGAAATTTTTATAAGAAATAATGTTTATTTAGAATAAATAATTTGATATTTTCTTAGAGCGTTTATTTATTTTCCACTTAGAAAATAAGGTTCTTCTGGTAGTAGAACTTAGTTTTTGGTTTGGGTCTCATTCATATAACCCATGTATATAGAATGATGTCAAATATAAGTCATCTCCAGAGCAGATGTGAATTAAGGATCACACCAGCTGTACATTCTTCTGTCAGACCACAGTGGTTGGTTCAAAGATAGGTACATTACCTACGTTAAGCCAATCAGAATGAACAAGTTGGATGTGGAGCAGTGAGAATGCAGTTCTGGAGCAGCAAAGATCTGCTTGTGACAAAGAGAAGAGACCCTTATTAATAATAAAACAAAAAATGGGGGAAAGATGATGGGAGAGAGGGAGGACAACTGAGTTATTTTGATAAAGCCCCTGATTGACCACATCAGAAGTTAGCATATCCCTTGGTCCTGAAATCGAGTTTGGTTTTAGTTTTCTGGATTCACCAATAAATGAGTCCTAATTGATACAATTTCATTGATAATGTTTAAACTGAAAGTATTATAAAAATAAATTACTACAATATTAAAAAGAATTCTGGATGTTTATTATCTTTGTGAAACTAGCTTTTTGATACCATATAGTTTTTGAACTCAACATTTTAGTTTTTATTTGATGTTTGAGGTAGCCCAAAGAACAGCAACTACATTCTTGCCACATATTGACAGGCATGCAGCCAAACTTAAAAAAAATATAGTCTAATTAATCCCCAAGTACCTACCCTGTTTGAGCCTCTTTGCTCCTCACCCTCCATGTATATCCCATGAAAATATTTAATCTTATGGATTTATGAGTTTGTTTAGTTAACTAGATAGTTCCAATATTCTGCTCAACATTTTATAAGTCACCAGAGTTTAGAAATGCCATATTCCCAGTATTAGGCATATACTGAATAGTCTTTTATGTTATAGACAATTTCCTTTTTCAATCCCCAAGGGGGCATCAGGGTCAAACTCAATGATACTCTTATTCTCAGGTTGCTGGCAGAAGAACTAATTCCGTGACAACGGCTCTCTCTCTATCTCTGACCTCCAAACCCCTGAATTTCTGATGAATGGCACCCTAGGAAACGAGGCTTGACATGTTTGCTTGCTTGTTTGAAATCAATCGAGAAAGTAAAAAGTACTTTAGAGATGCATGGGGTTCTCACATGGATTTATTGCAGAAAAATATATTTATTTTCTAATACATAATTTACTTCCTTTTTTTAGGCAGAGAGATCCATTTGTGTTTCAAGAGGTATAAGCAAGAGTGATGATTGAGAGCTTAACATAGACATAATCTCTAGCTCTCGATGATTAGTTCTCCATGGATTTTTGCCATGGATTAATACACAGCTGCAAAATTTGTGCAGTAATCCTCAGCTATGCAATTTGGTGGCAGGCTTTATTTTAGAGCCATTGTCCCTACAAATAATTAGAACACAACATGTATCAGTGCTTAGTTTATATCTTCATACTGATAGATAAACTGATAGATAAAGGGAAGGCAATAGCCTAAAACTACAAGGAAGTCAACACAGAGATAAAATCTGACAGTAAGATACATTATGTGTGAGTGAATTGGGTTATTATTCAGTAAGAGCAGGGTGGCTTCAGGGCAGTGATGGCATGTGAGTTGTACCTCAAATAGTGGCTTGGGTTGTATGAGAACTATGCATTTCTAATAGGAGTAGAGGTGGCAGAACAATGTAGGCAAGGCATGTGTGTGAGCAGGAGATAAAGCCTGGTGGAACAAAGTGGTCACACTTGGAAGAAATGAGACATAATGATAGAAGTGAATCCTGAGCACACGGTTGAGGAGGGTATGTACCGACAGTCAAAGGGTTTCAGAATTTATCCTGTGAACATTACGTGTTCTTACTGTTTTTAGGTATCTGCAGGTAGCTAATGAGAAAAAAAAAATCAGGTTAGCATGCATGTTTTGGCTTCTGGAAAACCAAATTAGGGAACATTTGGGAAAGCCCTTTTCATCATAATAACTGGTTCAAAACAACAAAATGGAGTGGAAAGTAGTCAATGTACCATTCTCTTTGAATGTGCGGAAATGACAGGATTAAATTCAATTAGTTTTGAAATCATCTGCTATGACTAGAGGAAGGCAGCATAGTTATCTCACCTTAATTAGTAGTAAAATGGAAGACAAAGTTACAGCAACATGGCTTTGGGGAGATACCTGGAACAAGTAGGATAATATTAACATGGCATTGTTGAGATGCCTTAGGTTATGGGAAATCACAGCTTCAAATACTAACTCACAGCATAGAGAGGCCAAGAAATAGCTACAGTAAATAAATGAATATGCCACTCAGCAGACAGAAAGAAGGGAAATGAAAGTTCTCTTTAAGACACATAATAATAATCAAGGTTCCAAAACTACTAGACTTAGTATATAGTTATCACCCAGACTGGAACCACTGTATGTCTGAGAAATGAAGAGATATTGTCAAGATATTGTCAGTCAAGAAAAAAGCAGCACTGTTGGGAAGGGAGGGTGAAGAGTGTTCTAGATTCAAGTGCAACTTGAGAGAAAGTATAAAATTGATAGATATTGTTTGGATAGAAAGATTAAGGAAAGAACAGGCAGAAGATGGCTTAACAGTTGAGACAGGTTTATTGAGAGTAAATCTGAGAAGGGCTTTTGGCCAGCAGGGTCAGGAGCAAAATTCTCTTACTGCCTGAGGCTTTTTTAAAGGGCCTGGTGGAGAAGTGTGCTTTGAAGCAAAATTTTATTAGTAAGGGGTTGGGAAAGTGCTGGCTGGTTTGTTATGGTTAGCGCCATTATGCTCTGTTGAAGCTATGGGCAGGGCTGACATTTGCAGTTTTGGCCAGGTGGCTTAAGATGGTGGGGTGTTACAAAGATGACGGTACTCTTGTCCTATCAATCTGGACTCTGTGGTTAGATAAGGAGATGGGCCAGCATGCTTTTATGGGTACTTCCTGCTGAAAGGGGGCTGTGAGATTGTTGGTTCCGGATTGACTGGAGGAGTTTTCAGGTGTTCCTCCACCGTTTTCAGGTGTTCCTGGGTGGCGGCTTGTGAGATGGCTGTGATCCTGTTGGTAAGGAACTTTTGGGAGAGGGTTACTAAACATGGTAAAACAATAATTCCAGGCCGATTATTATTAGAAGGCCTATGAAGGGGAGAATTCGGGTTAATAATTTACCATTTAACCAGGAACTAATTTGGTTTTTTTGTTGCTCCCTAATTCTTTGAGTTTTTTTCATTCAGTTTTGAGGCTGCATCCCTTATCAAGCCTGACTGGTTGAGATAAAAGCAGCATTCTTCCCCTAGAGAGAAGCAGAGACCTCCCTTCTCTGCTGTAAGGAGGCCGAGTCTTCTCTGGTTTTGGAGGACTACTCTAGTTGGGGAGTCTAGCTGGTCTTGAATTTTTACAAAGCCTTTCGCTGTATTTTCCAGGGATTCTTGTAGGTCTGTGGAGAGAGCCTCAAAATATGAGAGTGAAATGTCTCATTCCCCAGCTCCTAAGCTGATGCCCAGCACAGCCAATAAGGGAATGATTTAGATTGCCCTTTTCTGTTTGACATGTTGAACGGAAGGCACTGGCAAGGATTGGTTAGGGGGAGGTATTCTAATGGCTAGAGAAAGGTAGGCCAGAGTACAGGTGCCTGTCCGATTAGTTGGGAGGCAGAGGTATGTGTTGGTGCCACACAAGAAAAACAAGCCTGCTTTGGAAATGCAGGTAGAGATATGAAGGGCAAAAGGTGGATTAAGGGACTGTTTTTTTGTGGTGGGTTTCTGTCTCCAAACAGACAGTGGAGATGCAAGGGAGGCTTCAGTGATAGTGGAGATGTGTTAGGAGTTGACCTTTGTACATTTAATGAAATATGAAGTGGCACCGGTTATGGATAGCCACGGATAGAGATGAGTGTTGGGGATAGAGCAATTAAAAGATGCAGCTGTGACTATAGGGGGGTGGGGGAGCTGTAAAGCGGACTCGTTGGAGGAACAACCCATTGGCCTCTGGTGAAACTTGATATTCAGCCTGGTTAGTTTGATGGTCTGTAGGATGCTGGATAGAAATGGTTTTGTTACATTCTCCTGGGATGAGGGAACCTACGGGGGATGTACCTGCATGGCTGAAAAACAGAGTAGAACCTGTTGAAGGAGGGGGGCATGAAGAGCAATGGGTCCTTCCATAGAGGGGTCAGAGGAGGCATATCTTGTTAGGGGGTTATAATCTGCTTGGAACAGTTTGTTGGCTTGGTTAGCAAATTAGTTAGTGTAGTTGCCAAGTAGAGTGTCTGCCCTTTCAAAGAAGGAAGACTCCTTTTGGAGTTTGTAAATTAGAAATGTATTTTGAGTTAACACTGTAGGGAGAGGTGCTGGTAGGGCGTTATATGCTGACAAGGAGAGTGATAGGCACATTCAATAATTATAAGCATAAGAGGAATTAGCTTGCCGCAGAAGGTACTGAGTGAGATTTAAAGAGCGTTCCAGATGGTTAATGTTGAGTAGTGACTTGATGGGGGCCAAGGATTCCATTGTAGTGAGGAAAAGTAAACTTAGGTAAGAAGGAACAGCAGGCCTAAGGAAAAGAAAGTTATTTGGGTGGGGGAGAAATCCTGAGAGGCATCTTGAAGCCGCAAGTCCCACAGAAGGTTAAGGATTTGATTAGGGGAAACTAGAGGCTCCATGTGAGGGCACCAGGTAATATCTGAGCTAAGGAGTGTGAGGAAGAGGCAAAAATTGTGGGGAGAGAGACAGAGAGAGTTGATAGGCTTTTAATAGAGAGGTTTAGGTGGAAATTTCTTCTTTGGGAATCCTGGTTAGGCAGATGGATGTAGGCCCTGTGGAAACACAGGAAAAGGTTGGGAGGGGTTTACTTTGTGTTGGTGGGGGGCTGGATGAGGGAGGATTGGATTTTTTGAGGGATGAAAGGTGGAACCAATTAGCAATTTTGGGAGAGCATTTTTTAGAATGCCATTTGTCCTTTTTACCTTCCCAGAAGATTGAAGTAGGTAAGGGATATGGAACTTCCAGGTAGTATGAAGGGCTTAGAAGATTTGGAGTGATTTGGGCAGTGAATTTGGGATTATTATTAGACAGCCTCTGATTTAGGAGTAGTAGGGCTGCTAGGGAGTTTATTTGGTTTTGTGCATGCTCCACTTGGGCTGCTAACTCCGTTAGTTTCTCCTTTAGTTGAGCAGACAAGAGAAGTGAAAAAGCTAGACTTGTAGAACTAAGGCCTATTGCAGAGGAAATTCCCAGAGCAGGGAGGATGGGAATTAATTGGACCACCCTTTCTGTTTCCACATGTGCGTCTAGAGGGAGGGGAAATTTTTGATCCTTTGTGGCGACAGACAGGGAGGCGTATAAGGGTGGTGTTTGCATAGGAGTTTCCTGAATGTCCCTCATGCCAACAACAGAGATGGAGGAATGGGTTAAAGGACCTTGGTATTTAGTTAATACAGATGAGCTTGCCCCAGTATTTAAAGGAAAGAAACAGTTTTACCAGATACCGTCCCGATCATCCTGGGCTCCGTGGACTCACTGGTTGTGGGGGCAAAGGATCCCAGCCTTTTCAGTTGTTTGTTGACAGTGCCAGCAGAGAAGAGATTTTATTATGTGGCAGTTAAGGGGCTACTTTTTGGGCCGCACCTGAACAGGGAGGGTGTACCTGTTGGGGGCAGTCCATTTTCCAGTGTTCCCATTGACCACATGTCAGGCATGGCTTAGTGGGGCAGGGGTGGGGATGGGGGGTGGGGAAGGCTTGGGCACGTCTTTGCCCAGTGTCCAGGATTGCCACAACAGAAGCCAACTCTTGGGGTATTGGGAGGATTCCCTTTTGAGTGTCCAGGGGGGTTTTGAACAGCAGAGGCAAGCATTTGGTATTTTAAGTGAAGATGCTTTTTACATTTTGTTTTCCTTTTTTTTTTTATTGTAGAAGACATGAAAGGCGGCACTCAGGGGTTTCCACTGAGGAGTTTGGGGGCCCTTTTTTAGGCTTTGGAGTTTTCTTTGAATACTGGGGGCAGACTGGGAGATGAACTGGAGATGGAGGAAGGTTTGACCTTCCCTAGATTCTGGGTTTAGTTTAGTATAGTTTAGCATAGCCTCTGTGAGGTGAGGGAAAAGAAAAAAAGAGGACAGGGTTTTTTAATAATTTATGGTTGCTCCCTCCCGGAGAGGGAGAATAGCAAGAGCAGTCTCTGGACAGTTAAGCCGGGGAGAAGGAAGGAGGGAAGGAAGGTTGAGCGGGTGGGGCTGACAGGGAAAGAGACCCAGGCTGTATGGGAGCAGGTTGGGGGACATGCCGGGGTAGGTTGAGGACTGAGAGAGGTGTGAGCGAATGTAAAAGTAGGCTTGAAGATAGGGGACTTTTTGCCTTTTGCCGTTCCAGTTGAGGAAATTTTCTAGGTTCCTAAGAACTTGGAAATTGAAAGCGCCGTTCTCACACCAAAGGCCAGTGTTATTTAATTTGTACTGGGGCCAAGCTGTATTGCAGTAGACAAGTAAGGGTTAGGCTTTGATAATCGAGATGAGAGGAGGGAGGAATTTGAGATTGCTTGGACCCCATTGAGAACTAGCAAGGAAAGGCCGGAGGTGTCTGCGGTTAGACTAGGCATCCGCAGATAAAGGGCAGAGACCAGAGATTTTCTCCCAGAGAAGAGGCAGATTGCAGGGAGACGTCAGGTGTCCCTGAACGTTCACCTCCTAAGGTCCCTGATGGTTCCTCAGGGACCAGGACTGCAGACCTGACTTTCCTGGGTACCACAGGAAGGACATGTGGGGGGCAAATTTTACCAGTTTTTCGAATTAATGTCCGGTGTTGGATGCTTTAGAGGGAACCGACAAAGGACCTCTCAGACTTGAGCCACGGGGGAGAAATAGAAAGCGAAGGCCGGGCGCGGTGGCTCACGCCTGTAATCCCAGCACTTTGGGAGGCCAAGGCGGGCGGATCATGAGGTCAAGAGATCGAGATCACCCTGGCTAACACAGTGAAACCCCGTCTCTACTAAAAACACAAAAAATTAGCCGGGCGTGGTGTCGGGCGCCTGTAGTCCCAGCTACTCAGGAGGCTGAGGCAGGAGAATGGCGTGAACCTGGGAGGCAGAGCTTGCAGTGAGCCTAGATCGCGCCACTGCACTCCAGCCTGGGGAACAGAGCGGGACTCCGTCTCAAAAAAAAAAAGAAAGAAAGAAAGCGAATTACCCAGATTGGGTGGTTGGTGGCAAAATTCTGGGTCCGGGGATTTTGAAAACCCATCGGGGAGTATCCCTGGCCAGAACCTTGCAGTCCTCTCGGGTCAGTCAGTTAACACACGCAATTCGCTTACGGAAAAGAGAGGAAGGGTTGAAGGAGGGAACAGGAAGCCAGAGAACCCTCAGGATCCAGGAGTTAGCCCGGGACCAGCTGCCGCTGCCCATTGCTTCCTCGGTTGCAAGAGAGTTCCCTGCCCCAACACCTATCCCAGGTTTTGACACAAATGTTGAGATAGAAAGATTAAGGAAAGAAGAGGCAAGAAGGCAGTTTAACAGTTTAACAATTAAAGACAGGTTTATTGAGAATAAACCTGAGAAGGGCTTTTGGCCAGCAGGGTCAGGATCAAACTTCTCTTACAGCCTGAGGCTTTTTGTTTGTTTGTTTTTGACGGAGTCTCCCTCTTGTCACCCAGGCTGGAGTGCAGTGGCACAATCTCGATTCACTGCAACCTGTGCCTCCCAGGTTCAAGTGATTCTCCTGCCTCAGCCCCCCGAGTAGCTGGGATTACAGGCGCCTGCCACCACACCCGGCTAATTTTTGTATTTTTTAGTAGAGGCGGGGTTTCGCCGTGTTGGCCAGGCTGGACTCGAACTCCTGACCTCCAGTGATCCACCAGCCTCGGCCTCCCAAAGTGTTGGGGATACAGGTGTGAGCCACCGTGCCAGGCCTGCCTGAGGCTTTTTTAAAGGTCCGGGGGGATAAGTGTGCTTTGAAGCAAGATTTTATTAGGAAGAGGTTGGAATAGTGCTGGCTGTTTTTTTATGCTCTGTTGAAGCTGTGGGCGGGGCTAACATTTGCGTTTTGGCCAGATGGCTTAAGATGGTGGAGTGTTATAAAGATGGCGGTACTCTTGTCCTATCAGATACTATAAACAAAAAATTACATTCTAAGCCCCCGGCTTAATGGACTTTTCCTCTCAGCTAAGAACACTCTAAAGCAAACCTGAAACACTAGTTCAGGCCATGATGAGAATGGACAGTTGGTCAGACTTGCCTCATTATACCTTCCTCTCTTTGTAAATTCAGGCACAACTGACCAGCATTAAGAGGGACCTAAAGATTGACAAAACAGCCTCCTTTTAGCAGTAAGATACCAATATAACATTTAACAGGCCCTGAAAGAAATCAAAGTATTTTACCCCGAAGTATATTTCTTTGCCATATTTTGAAATCACCCCATAAAGCTGCCCTTATGGGTAACATATATATTCTGTAGAGAATCCCCTTTCCTTTTCAGGTGTTTTTCCTGATCCAGGAGAGAATTATCTAAGAGTCTGACACTCTTTTAAGTCTAAGAAGCATTCACAATGGATTCTCTCTGAAGCCTGCTACCTGGGGGGTTCATCTGCATAATAATAAAAATTTTGGTCTCCACAACATTTTATCTTAACCCAGACACTCCGTTCTGTGGATTCCAGGTCTTTAGATAAATTCTTTCAACCATCTGCCAATCAGAAAATGTTTGAAACCACCCATGACTTGGAAGCCCCTGCTAAGAGTTGTCCTGTCTTTCTGGACCAAACCAATGTACATCTTACATGTATTGATTGACTGATTGACGTCTTGGTCTCCTTAAAATGACAGAAAACCAAACACCGCGTGTTCTCACTCATAGGCGGGAATTGAACAATGAGATCACTTGGACACAGGGCAGGAACATCACACACAGTGGCCTGTTGCAGGGTGGGGGATGGGGGAGGGATAGCATTAGGAGAAATACCTAATGTAAATGATGATTTTATGGGTGCAGCAAACCAACATGGCACATGTATACCTATGTATCAAACCTGCACGTTGTGCACATGTACCCTAGAATTTAAAGCATAATTAAAAAAAAAAAGTATGAAATCATACTGGAATGCTGTAGCCTGAGCACCCTGGGCACATGTTGTCAGGACCTACTGAGACTGTTTCACGGGCATGTGCTTAACCTGGGCAAAGTCAGCTTCTAAATTGACTGAAACTTGTCGCAGATACATTTGGATTTACCACACCATGGTGCATTTCAGAAACAGAAAGACATGCTGGTGTGTTTGTAGCGGAGCTAGAAGACTTGAGTCTGGAAAGAAGTAGCCAGATCCCATGGCTTGAAGGCTTTACAAGCCATGGTGATATGGACAGGAAGCAGGGAAGTGCTGGGTAGAGAAAAGCAGGGTACCTGGCGAGGGCTCCACCCTCGGGCCTATGCCCATGGACCTAAGCAAGAACTGGCACTCGTGTTTTCATGCCCAGATGTTGTATTTTCCAAGACCACTCTGACCTACCACACCTACCATTCTGTGCCCATAAAAACCCGAGACCTTACCAAGCACAGACACAAGTGGTTGAATATCGAGAGGAGCAGAGGAACAGAGTGGCATAGAGCAGTGGAGAGCAGTGTGCTGGCATGGTAGAGAAGGAGGGAAGAAGCAACTGAACATTGGCTGAGAACAGCCAGATTCCAGGGGAAGAACACCTTCCCACTCCATTCCCCATCTCTGGTTCCCCATCCATGTCTCTGAGAGCCACCTCCACCACTCAATAAAACCTTGCACTCATCCTCCAAGCCCACCTGTATTCCGATTCTTCTGGTTCACTGGGCAAGAACCCAGGCTGTCACACTGGCCCCCTGTCCTTGCAATAAGGCAGAGCATCTATTGAGCTGATTAACGCCAGCCATCTGCAGATGGCAAAGCTGAAAGAGCACACTGTAACACACGCCCACTTGGGCTTCAGGAGTAGTCCTAGATACTGCTGTGGGGTCGGAGCCCAAAAGCTCTCTCCAGGGCCTCAGCACCTGCCCATCTTCATGCTTCCCCTAGGGGTTTAGGCAGTGGGGCACCTAAGGAGCAAGCCATATCCCTGTCACACACCCTGCGAGGGGGACGGGAACTCTCCCGTTTCAATGGTAAGCATGGTCCCCAGTGATAGAAGGATACTTTCAGTGCTAATCACAAGAATGAATTGTCTTTCCACATATCACAAAAAGATTATTAAAAATTATTGTATTGAGTAATTTGCCCTACCTAATTAAATTTTCTATTGTCCTTGCTTCGCTATGTTTAACCTGAAACTTAAGCCAAAATATACAGTTTATTGGAAAATCTTGATCCTAGGAGCATGTTTAAATTTTTAATTAAAACATTATTGACTGCCTGCTGTATGAAAAATTCTGTGCACGTTACTAAAGATACACAGATAAAAGATAATTTGACAAGGCGCAAATTCTAGAAAGTTACATCAGCTCATAAACAATTCTTCTAAAGAGTCAACTGAGTTAGTGGGGTGGAAAGGGAAGAAAGTAATCACAGTGTCAGAGACATGTGAACTAGAGCAACTCCATCTTGAATAGAAGCTGGGTAAAATGAGGCTGAGACCTACTGGGCTGCATTCCCAGATGGTTAAGGCATTCTGAGTCATAGGATAAGATAGGAGGTCAGCACAAGATACAGATCATAAAGACCTCGCTGATAAAACAGGTTGCAGTAAAGAAGCCAGCTAAAGCCCCCAAAACCAAGACGGCGATGACCTCTGGTCATTCTCACTGCTACACTCTGACCAACGCCAGGACAGTTTC